>NC_000006.12:103858668-104010183 GCF_000001405.40 Homo sapiens
ATTATAGCTGTACTCTATATGTTCCAAAGTTGAGACATTGAAGTTACACAAAGACCAAATGAAACTGCTAGAGATGAAAATTATAATTTCTGAGAAGGAAACATATTTAGTGAGGGTAATGGCAAATTAAATATTGAAAAAGAAAAGATCAGTGAAATGGAATTCAAATTTGAGGTTCTCTAAACATAAATAACATGAAAACAAAAGGCACTTACACACATTAAAATTAATAATAAAGAGAAAATATAAAAAACAGATAGAAAAGCATGTGACATCCAGAAGAACAAAAGTAAGGATGACAATGGGGCTCTCAGCAACAGCAACGTAAGCTAGAAGACAGTGGAATCAATGTCTTAAAGTACTAGAGGAAAAAAAAGTATCAACCTAGAATTCTATCTCTAATAAAAATATCTTGCAAAACCAAAGCTAAATTACAACTTTTTCAGACATAAAAGAGCTGAAAGTTTTCATCACCGGTAGATGCACACTACAAAACATACTTAAGGAAGTCCTTCAGGCAGAAGAAAATCTCAGATGGAAATATGTATCTAAAAAAAAAACTGCAGAGCACCAGCAATAGAATGTATATAACGTTACCAAAAAATGGTTTATATGTGGGTAAATAAGTCAGATGTTTTTCACACTATTGAAATTCTTCTTCATTTTATTTAAATTTCTTCATTCAGCGGCTAGGTGCTCCTTTCTAATAACCTTCAAATTTTTCTTGCCTCCTTTGTCATCCATTTGCTTTTCTGTTTCTTAGGGTCTTGAGAAGTTCATTATGTCATTAATATTCTGATTTATTATTTGCATTGTTTTGTTCTGTCCCTATTAATTTCAATAATTTTTTCTGAAAGTTGCTTTCTATTGATTTGTACTAAGGAGAGGAAAGATCCTGAAATGTACTTCTTTAACTACTTTATTAGTTGTTACTAGAAGTACTTCACCAGGTGGAGGACTATGATGATTAATATACTCACATATCTCTGTAATTTTAGAAAGTTACCTACATATTTTTATGACACTAAAGTCATCTCTCTTGCGAATTAAAATCAGATAAAATGTAATTAAAATGAATTTAGGAATATGAAAATAATCATATTGAATGGAAAGTGGAATTTCCTATTAGAACAATAGAACAAATTTTTCATTACAACTGCATATTCTACACAAAGATATACAGGATCACTTTTTCATAAACGAGCACTGTCAAGTTTAGATCACCCGTATGAAGGCATATGCCATAGTTTATATTCAAAGAACATACTATTAATTGCAAATTTTTATAAGACTTAGGTAACTCCTATGAAAGTATTTACATGATCACCACAGAAAATTTGATGTTTTTCTACAATATGAATAATCTGGAGAGATAATCTTGATTTATTCTCTTGAATTTTGCAGCTATTAAAAGTTTTATACTTTTAATCACTGCTTTCTTTGTTTCTTTTTTCTATACTGAAAATTCTACAATTTTAACCAATAGTGAGATTCTTTTTTGTTTAATTGAATACAGTAAATAGAGCATGTAGTCATCTTTGTGTTAAGTTTCCGGCACATTTCTCATATTTTTCACTCTGTGATCATGCTCCCTTTTGGAAAACACTTATTGATTTTTAAAATAAGCAGATATGCAGTGCAATCAAGCCAGAAGGATATTTTAATAGTAGATAATATGACATCCCTCTGCATCCCACAAAAGAGAATGGTATGAAGAGAAAGCTGATAGTAATAGCAAAGGGAAATGGAGTAATTATCTAAGCAAGAAAAAGGGGAAAGCCATATGCTTTGCATAGAAATTGGAACTGCACAAATGCAGGAATTGATTTCATATTTTGACCTCCCATGCATTGGCATTCCATCTATTCCAGTTTCGTAACACAAAATAACAAAACAAAAATGACAACAGTAATTTAAACAGGAACTTAGATTTGCTTAGATTTTTTTCCTCCTTGCAAAATGATCATGTGAAATTTTTAAAAAGAAATAAAGGTGATATATAGCTACAGCTTAAAGAATTTGTTCCAAAACATAGGAAGCTGAAATTTCCAAGTGCCTAAATATTTTTCTCAAAGTAAATGAAGCACTTAGCCCTGGGTTTACTGCAGTTCCACAAATGCCCTGTGCACAAGAATGTATGCTAGCCAAGTAAAGCAGTCTGTTTTCTGTCATCAAACGGGCCCCTTCCCCATCATTGCTAACTATTTTACTTCTTTTTATCTCGTCTATCTGTGCATGCTTTACCTACAAGTTACTCTCAAAGAAAGATTCTCAAGCCATTTTTTCTATTGTAAAATCATTCTTTATGTATGGGTGGCCTGAGTGAAGACACAGGTCAATACTCCGCAAGGGTACCTCAAATCTGGAATATATATAAATTTACTGAAATCATTTAAAAGAGGCATTCTCTAATGCTTCATAACAAAACTGCATTGTTTTGAACCACTATATACCCATCACCTTCCCTATCACTGTCAGGAGACAGCTTTTACTCAATTGTGCCTGATATTGTGCTATCCTTTTACATAGAAGAATTGAACGTGGAACAGCCTACAACCTGTTATGAGAACTAATTATGAGATTATTGGGGATTTTTAAAATTAATAAATAAATGTATTTTAGAGAAGTTTTAGGTTCAAAGCCAAATTGAGAGGAAAATACAGACTTCTAAGTATACCCTGTCCCACACACCCATAACCTCCCCCACAATGAGCATCCTGTACCAGAGAGATACATTTGTTACAATAAGTCAATCTATATTGATACCCTGGAATTTTTTTAAAAGCGCATTCTATCCGAAAGGATGTACAGGATAGATTTCTGTAATTTCAGAACTAAGAATAAATGTGCTTCTCTGAAGCAATGGATTGGATTGCCATAGCATATCATTAACCATTTATTTTTCTGTGTCTGTTTTGACTAATAAAATATTTGAAGCTAAATTGTCCAGATCTCAAAAGTTTCTCACCATATATTTTGTAAATTAACTTCATTCCTGCTACATCTTATTTCTCCCACCTTTTTATGTTCTGCCCTGAGATATTCCTTTACTTCATCCTTAAACAGCTGCATTTTTGGTATTTTTGTAAGTCATTTTAACTTTTTGGAACCAAAGGGTATAAAAACAAATGAATTATATAAATTGATAAAAATCTAATTATATTTCAATTTACCTAGTAGCTCTTCAATTATCATTTTCGTTTGGGGAATAGATAAAACAATCAAGTGGCACATTTTATTTAGTATGAAACTCCAGAAAAAATCTCATTAATAGCAGAAATACAAAATTTAAAGTGCTCATTATAAAAGAAATGGATTTGCATTGATAAAAATAATCAGAAGGCAATGACACACATGTTAGGGACAATACATAAGCATATTCCCTAAATTATTCACAGTATATTTACTTAGTGGAGCTTTGTATAACAGGTACATGTGGGAACAGTGATTACATGTTGACCTATATAATTAAGAAAATGATTTGCCTAACAAGTAATCTGTAATAAAATGCCTAACTAGTAATCATAAGAACAAGCCATATGTTTTTAAATATGACCCAAACATTTGCATAGTGTTTATGTACAATAAATTAAAGCAAAATGAAAAATCTGCTGACAAGAAATAAGTAGCAATAAGGGTAGACTAATGTATTAAATCCTTCATTCTGGATCATTTAGGTAACGTTCCATTCATTTTAGATTCATGAGTAGAAGCCTTTACAGATTGGGCATGCATACCATAAATCTGGAGTTATCCATTATTAGGTGACATTTTGCTGTTTGCAGTTGTACATGTTTACTTTGTGCATAATTAACTGCGTAATAGCTGTCTGTGTTTTGCACAGGATTTACACTCAGGCTCTCATCAAAACAAATGACTCCAGAAAGTAGGACACTTCCATTAAGTTCCCTGCAATCAGTATTTCCTAATACGGTTTACAGGAGTGGTTTTGATTGTGACTGTTAGTATATTAATGTTATCAGTAGCTAATGTGTGTGTTGGAGTTTAATTTATTAAACTCTTAAAATGCATACAAAGTATGGATAGGTGGAGGCAAAAGGAAGTAGAGCATACCTAAAAATAGCCAAGAAAGAAATTTCCATGAAAATAATAAGCGCAAGTTGGACAGGCAATTGATCACTGTGCAGAATAATACAATGGATCAAACACACATCGTAGCAGTTCTTTTTTGGTGTACAATTGTGACAGCCAAATCAACAGCATTTGGAGAGCAGCATCTCTGAAAATGGGCTGTCAGAAGAAGAACCAAGATTTACTCCAGTCATGTGTTTTGTTTACAACAATATGAACTTAGGAAAAAATACCAAATTAATCTAACCAAAATGAAATATGAAATTAAAGGCCAAAGAACAAGAGAGGTAAACTATGAAGTAAAAGAGGCTATTGTTTATGAGTTATGAGCTATAACCCATAAATGGCAGCTGATTTTTAAAAAGTTCTGATAAATGGCTAAATGTTCTATTTAAAGCTGCATCTTTTTTGTTAATCAACGGTTGAATAAAAGATTTAGTGTAAAAAAATTCACTTTCTTCCAAGAAATGATCGTTTAAAAATAAATGAAAGGCAGAGAAATAAAATAGCTAGTCTAGTTCTTATAAAAGTAGTAATACTTTATTCATAAAGTTAATATTAGACTTTTGATGGCAAAGAATGCAATATTTTTTAATTGGAGCTTGAAATAATGTTGTGTTCAATACTATTAATTGTCTCCCTCTCAGAATAAAGAACAGCACATAATGAAATATGTGTAAATATGTCATACATAAAACGCACAAACCCCAGAAGTAGTCATCGTCAAAAGTATAGTTCCATATTGTCTGTTATAGTTTCAAATATTTACTCAGTTTTATAAAAGGCATTTTTTACACTTTCTCGCTATTATTTTCTTATTAAATTAGCCTAAGCTTCTTAAAATGCAATTCTATATGTCAGTCATTTCTTGAATTTTTTAAGCTTCATGTTATGTAACTAAGTAATTACTTTTCAAAACACTATATGATTTTGGATTATAAAATTAGGTATTTTGAAGAATCACCTCAGATAACAAAAAATCAAGAATAAATTCCCTGGGATTCTGGGCAAGATGGTGGGTTAATTCAAATAGAATTTCTATAAGCACTCCCTATCATTACTTCACTTAGAATACATACATAAGTATATGTATATATAAAATAGATTTCAAATATATATTCAAATATTTCAAAAACCACAAGTTCCTAGTCGTGACGGGAAACAGTTTCTAGCCAGGAGTGGAATGAGAGCATGGTATCAGAGCATGGCTTACTGAGTGAAAACACCCACCTAACAGCAGTGCCTTTTGTCTATTAATAGAGACTGAAAATATCTGTAACCTGTGTATTGTGTTGTGAGCAATATCAAATGCCTTCCACTGTCTGGAAAGGTGTAAAAGGTCCAATTAACATTAGCTCTTTTAATGTGAAGAATGCGTGTTTAATCATTCATTGGTCAAGTGTAACAACAATAAGGGTAATAAAATACTGAATAATTTCTAAGGTAATAGGTGGGAAAATTAATACAAAAGAAGCAATATAAAAGAAGGCAAAAAGAGATAAAGTAACATTGAAAGGAGGCCAAATAAGAAACACTTAGAAACATAGTAGATTTAAACCCAAATATATTAGCAATACACATTAAGTGTAATGGACTAATGTTTCTTTCAAATAAAGAGATAATCTAGCTGGATAAATAAAAATAATAATGCTTCTAGAAGACAGTACCAGAGAATAGCTTCATGACCTCTGAGTAGGGAAATACTTGTTAAATGGGATATGATAGTACTAAATTTAAAATAATAAATTTATAACGGATTAAATTAAAATTATTACCATGGGTTTATTAAAGCCTTCACACTGAATGAGTGAAAAGATAAATGACAGAATAAGATATTTGCAATGTAAAGAAACTGCAAAGCATTGAATCCAAAATACATAAAAAACTTCTAACAATAAGAAAAATAATGACTATTACAATAAAAAATAGCATACCCTTTCAAGACTAAAATATAGTGATTAATGATGTATGCTTTAGTGGTTATTTTATAAGGAAAAGCAAGGGAATGATTGCTGTATAAATAAGGAGTGTGGTTTCATTTGGGAAGTAATTGGGAGTTGGCAGAGTGGAGCTTGTGGGGTATGCTAATGTTCTATTTCTTGACCTGGTTTTAGGTTCAGTGGGTACTTGATTTATCATAAATCATTTAGCTGTCAAGTCACTTAATTTTTAGCATTTTTCTGCTTGTGCAGTGTATTTCTAAATTAATTTTTTAAAAGATCAGCCTACAAAAATCAATATTGTTTTTAAAAAATTTTAAAGGCATAATTTACATCTAAATACACAGAGATATAGACCATGTTTACAGACAGAAAGTTATAGTATCATAAAGATGTCACCTTCATTTATACTTTTTATTATATTCTGATAGAACCACCAACCAGAATTTTCATGGAAACTGGCAAAGTGATTCTCAATTAATACAGAAGAGCACACAGTCAAAAATACCAAAGATCATTGTAAGAAAAAAATGTAACATGAAAAGATCATAAAGTTCATAGTAATTTAAAAAGTGTGATAATGGCACAAGGATAGACAAACTGACGAAACAGAGACAAACTATGTATATAAAATAGTTTGGAATATGATAAAACTTGGAAATCTGCAATTTCTTTTATTCTTATTAATTAAATCTTTTATATATTTCCTTTTAATCTGCTTGATTTCGTGACCTGAAAGAGATTAATTAAAATCATCCTTTAGAGTTATATTTTATTTGTGTCTTTTTGTGGGTCCTACAGTTTCTGCTTTATATCTTTTTACATATTTTTTATAAAATATATAAAAAATAAGATATTTGCAACGTAAAGAAATCACAAAGCATTGAATCCAAAATACATAAAAAAATTCTAACAACGAGAATATTAACTATTACAATAAAAATAGCATATTTTATTTGCCTTCTTTTATATTACTTATTTTGTATTAATTTTCTCACCTATTACCTTATTTCTTAAATATATTTATATATTTTTATATATTTATATCTTTTGTATATATTAAGGCTATATTATTTGGCACACAATACTTTATTTTAGATGCCATCTTTTTTCATATATCCATGTTTTTCTTATGTAAACAAATGTATTAAATTTCATATATTACTATTGAGACAGAGGTCCTGAAGACCATACCCAGGTTCAACAACTTGCTAGGAGGACTCAGAGAACTCAGTCATATTCACAGCCATCCTTTATTATAGAATAAGGGTACAAAGTAAAATCATCAAAGCGAAAAGGCACATAGGACAAAGTCTAGGGAAAACCAGGCACAAGCTTACAGAGAGTCACACAAGACACACTTCATTCCCCTAGCAACAAATTGGGACAACAGATGTGAAATGTTGCCAACCAGGGAAGCTCATTAGAGACTCAGAGTTCAGGGTCTTCTGGTCCAGAGTCCAGAGTTCACTCTCTGCTTGGCATGGACCAAAACTCGGACTCCCAAAAGGAAAGCAGATATTCAGCATAAACCACATTGTTTGTACAAACAGTTTAGTTATAATGAGACAATTTATCGGGAATGGCAGGAGCCCTCTTAAAATCCAACTTCCAAATGCCAGCCAAGGGCCAACCTTGTTAAGCAGCCGTTGCAGAAGACAGTAGTCAGGCCTGTTAACTCTTGTCTGCATGATTATAAATTAGCCTTTATAGTTATTTGCATTTTTTTCAGATGTATTTTTGCCAGTAATTTTCTATTCAAATATTTTAGTTACTTTGTAATCTTTTAGCTTAATTTTGACCTAACAGTCTTTTTTCTTCTTTAATTGATGAGTTTCTCTTTTCTTTGTATGAGAAGGAAAGATCTTAATTATGTAACAATGTTTTCTGTTCTAATGCTTCTATAATTGTTATATATTCCAGATTGTTAATATAACCCTAAATTTTAATGTATATAATCTGTTTTTAAGATTTTTAATGGCTGTAATTTTAATAATGACAGATATCTATATGTTTTTTATTTCTTTGAAGAAAATGAAATTCTTAAAAAAACTGTAATTAATATCCTCAGAATTATACAGAAGATAGTGAGTCCTTTAAATAGAGAATTAGAGAATATAGTTTTCTGCTCTGCTATTCACATGATGATTTCTTAAATTACAATATAAGTCTAGACTTCAAGTACATTCTAACTTTATGACTATCAGGTTTCAAAAGTGAGTACACCGGCAGGGCGCAGTGGCTCACGCCTGTAATCCCAGCACTTTGGGAGGCCAAGGCGGGCGGATCATGAGGTCAGAAGATCGAGACCATCCTCGCTAACATGGTGAAACCCCGTCTCTACTAAAAATACAAAAAAAATTAGCCGGGCGTGGTGGCGGGCGCCTGTAGTCCCAGCTACTTGGGAGGCTGAAGCAGGAGAATGGCATGAATCCACGAGGCGGAGCTTGCAGTGAGCCGAGGTCGCGCCACTGCACTCCAGCCTGGACAGAGCAAGACTCCTCCATCTTAAAAAAAAAAATTGAGTACACCATTCTTAGCAATGACAGTATAAGCTTTTTCTGATTAGTATGGAAAGGCTGTGAAATTATTCATAATGAAAATGAAGTCAAATGTCATTTGAGAAAATGTACTTTCTTTATTCACCAAAACTGCTCTGATCTGCTTCTCAGCCTCCATCATAGTACAGAAACAGGAGAGGGAAAAAGAAAAACAGACTTAGCCTAACCCAGTAACTGATTCCAAAATTCAAACAATATTGTTGCTATAATTCTTAAGATCTAAAATATTTTCTCTTCTATTCTTTTCTTTCTCAACATAGTATCTCTATGAACAAGGATGTTGACATGTGAAAGACTCTTTTTTTGAAAAAATTATTTCTATAGGTTTTTGGGAAACAAGTGCTATCTGGTTACGAGTAAGTTCTTTAGTGGTGATTTGTGAGATTTTGGTGCACCCATCACCTGATCGGTATAAACTGAATCAAATTTGTAGTCTTTTATCCCTCACCCCTCTGCCACCCTTTCCCCGGAGTCCCCGAAGTCCACTGTATCATTCTTATGGCTTTGCATCTTCATAATTTGGCTCCCATTTATGAGTGAGAACATATGATGTTTGGTTCTTCTGGTATCCACTGCAATATCCTTTGTCTTCCTAGGCACTGCCAATCTTGCTGGTGTGGCTTGTGCTCGGCCTCAGCCTGGTGAGCATTCAGTGTGGTTCCCTAGGTGAGGAGATCTCACTTCCGCTCTTGCTGTCATGGAAATATCTGCGGGTCTGTGCAGCCTCTGCAATGGGACCACCATTTTCTTCACCATAGTTGTCCAAATGGAAAGGTCACTTGCTCAGAACTTGGTTACCTCCAAGTCTTTTCTATGGGTAATGAAATAAATACTAAGTCTCCCTGTGACAAGTGAATTATGGCAGTATTTAGGAAAACTAAGCTTAGGTAAGCCAATACTTGAGATATACAGAGTTAGATCAGATGGGGTAAAGATAGCATATGCTGAATCAAAGGAGAACTCAGCTGAAGAGCGTTAATTAACAATGCTAACTGTTAATATAATGCATATTTGCCAAGCCTGGAAGGGTACTTCAATAGAATATATCCTAGATGTGAGCAGGGAAATAAAAGGAGCCTTTGAGCCAAAGTCTTTGTATTAGTCTGTTTTCACACTGCTATAAAGACACATCCCAGACTGTGTAATTTATAAAGGAAAAAGGCTTAATTGACTCATAGTTCCACACGCCTGGGGAGGCCTCAGGAAACTTACAATCATGGCAGAAGGGGAAGCAGGCACTTTCTTCACAAGGCAGCTGGAGAGAGAGTGTGTGAAGTAGGATCTTTCAAACACTTACAAAACCATCAGATCTTGTAAGAACTCACTCACTGTCACAAGAATAGCATGGGGGGAACTACCCCTTGATCCAATCACCTCCCTCCCTCCACACATGGTGGGGGATTACAGGTCCCTCCCTCAACAGGTGGGGATTACAATTCAAGATGAGATTTGGGTGGGGAAACAGACCTGAACCATATCAGTCTCAATACTATTAATCGGTGTTAAAGTCTTTTAGCTTCAGCATGCTTCTTTAGGTATCTAACATCTCACCTTCTCTAAGATCTATAAATTTTACTCCATGGCTATTGTCAGGTTCACCACTACACCAAATGTCATACCCAGGGTCAGGTTTGAGCCCCAGCTGAGGTCTAAGGGGAGTGGGTGGATAGGCGATGGATAGCTGAAAGAACACTCATCAGGCCATAGGCAGGTGAATATGGTTTTATTCAGCAGCTCTCTCATCAGCAGCTCTCCCACACTGTTTGCTCTGTCTTGGCTGCTTGCTCCAGCCGCTCCCCTGCACAGCTGCATGGCTGGCTGTCCCTTCAGGGACAGCAGCTTAACTCTTTCTGGGCACAAGCTGGTTCCTGGCTCCCCCCTGCCTGCCTTCAAGGTGACCGGCTTTCCCCTATGGGGGTTTCTTATGTTTCTTAGTGACAGGGTGAGATAATCAGTGAGGAAGCAGAGGTTCAGAGAGAGTGAGCGATCTGGTACTCAATAAGCAGCAGAGCTGAGAGGCAAATCTAGGTTGGTTGGTTGGTTGGTTGTTTTCCGCCCAGGTTGGAGTGCAGTGGCGTGATCTTGGCTCACTGCAACCTCCACCTCCTGGGTTCAAGCAATTCTCCTGTCTCAGCCTCCCAAGTAGTTGGGACTACAGGTGCATGCCACCACACCTGGCTGACTTTTGTATTTTTAGTAGAGACAGGGTTTCACTATATTGGTCAGGCTGGTCTCCAACTCCTGACCTCAAGTGATCCACCCAGCTTGGCCTCCCAAAGTGCTGGGATTACAGGCGTGAGCTACCATGCTCAGCCCAAGTCCAGGTTTTTAACCTCAACTCTTGTTCTCTTACATTAAAATGAAGTTCCACAGAGGACTCTAATTCCACTGCTGCAGTTTTTGTGATTTTATCAGTCATTCTATGAATTTTAAAATATTTGAATAAAAAAATTTCCGTAGTTTTGCTATATGATGTTTTTCTTGTGGTAATCATTCAATTATGCATGATATCTGTTTACACAGAGTATAACAAGGCTTTCAAAAATACCTTCCAATAAACAAGCAGTAGTCTGTCTTACTCATCTTCATTTTAGTCACTTACACTTGAAGTTTCTTTGGCTTGAAATATCCCTGACCCCACCTATAGCTTTGTCTGACTAAACTGCACTTTAATATTTATTTTAGATGTCATTTTCTCCTGGAAATCTCCCCAGGTGCCATAATTTGAGTTAGCTGCCTCTTTTACATATTTATAGATTCTGTTTTACTTGCATAGTATGGTATCTTTCACCCTGTATTGCCCTGACCAGTTTGCTAGTCTTTATTCTCTGCTAAACTGTGAGTTACTATATTCATACAAATTTTTATCATCAATATATAAATTCATCTATCCATCCATCAGTCCACCCACCCATTCATGCAGCAATCAATCAATAAAAGTGTAAGGGTCAGGTGTACAGCTCTCCACTTGTTTGATTTAAGGAATATATTTTAGAATATCTTGTGTGACAATAGCTGATAGGTTTCATCTCATACAACAGATCCAACTGGTAATCTAATCTAACGGATGTCCTATATTGAGAAGAACTCAACAGTCATATCTAGGTTTACCAAAAAGAAAAAGAAATGATCATTTACTATATCAGCCATCAAGGGAGAGTTCTGGCATAAAGCCATATATGTTTTTTAAATATTGATCCAGAGAAAGGAATCAACTGCAAATACTTGAGAAAATTCCTATCACTTGGAATCTTGGTATAAAAATGACTGGTGGTGAGTTTGAAGTTTTGCTTCCCTATCAAAACTGGTCAGGAATGCTGAAGTATATATTATTGGTTTGTTATTGCTATTCTGTGATGAAAGCTGGGAAGACTTTAAGTAGAAGGCTTCCCATGGTGGCTTACCAAGACTCAGATCACCCTTCACCTGCTGCTAAGAGCCTTCAACTCTCACGTTTTGTCAGGGCCACACTTCCTCTGGGTGGCTGTTAGAGGACAACTGAGCATGGCAGTGCTTTCAGAATCAGGCCATTCCCACCCAACCCCATGTGAGCCTCCTCTAACATAAACTTTTCTTGGAATTTCTCTTCAGCTTGGCTGAGCCCTTCTGAGAACAGCATCTCTGTCCGAAGCTCTTCCCACCCACTTGGATTCTAGCTTGCTTCAGATATGGCTTTCAAAGCAGCAATGCTCAGTTTTTGCAGCTAGTTATTTTCCACAGTAAGGCCAACTTAATATTTAAGGATATGAACAAGAAACTGACAGAAAGACAACAGAAGTAAAAAGAACCAAAGTACAGATTATAAAGAGTAAGGAAACAATAATGCTTTGAAGAAAGCATGCCATGGCGGCAATGCAGATTACCCAACTTCCTGTATATTTTCAGCTTTAGCTCATAATTATGTAAGCCAGATCATAATAATTGGCAGTCATGGCATGCTTACCAGGAAGTAAACAATTTCCTAAGTAATTTATGTTCATTTTTCATTTAACTTTTATGGGATCTCTATGGCAGAGATACTATTTACCCAATTTGCTGACGAGGAAACTGATTATTTGAGAGATAAGTATTTTCACAAAGGCATAACAACATTAATTAGTGGATCACAGATTTAAACCCAGTTTTGGATAATTCTAAAGTCCAAGCCATTAGCCACAATAGTGTACTGGCTTTCAACCAAATGTTCAGACTATCTCATTTGGAAGTCTCAAGTAAAATCTCATTATCCTCTTTTTCATCTGAAAAATTCCTTTTTGGAGATTATTATCCATTTAAAAAACATCTACCTATCTAGGTGTATATTTGTGTGTCTGTACCCGAAGCTCTCCATTGAACAAGAAATGATGGTACAAATTGTGCATTGAAATGAGTAAACATACTTGTTTGTTGTCTCGAGATTCTTCAATTGGTTAGTTAAAACTGGTAACAGACATTTGTGTTATTGACCAATTTTATCTTTAGCCTCAAAGACAATTAAAATCAAGAGGTGAATAAAAAATAAATCTCTTAAAAAATAATAATACATTTATTTTATGAACATACACACACATGCACTTGAAATTCCTAAAATTATTGTACAAAATTAGAGGCCTCTAGACATTAATTCTACAAGTTACTCCAACTGTCAACAATATTTTTTATGATTTTAGAGCACAGAGAGATTTTGTTCACCTCTATCCCTACAGCAAGTAATAAATATTTATTGATATAATTTCAAATAAATGTTTTTTTATAGAATTCAAAGAAACATCAAAAGTATATTTTTCTTAAAAAAAGACTTTCTGCTTAGCCAATTGTTCCAGCTTCTCTAAAGATACTTTTATCTTTATATAATTTGTAGCCATGCTATTTCACCAATTTATAAATCAGCTTTAAAAATCGAATGAGAGTTAAATAAATTTCACCTAACCTATTTAAATAAGTATAGTAGTCAATATTATATTTGCTCTATATTCAATAATTCCAAAGCTTCACTCCTTTGATTTTTATTTTAATATTAAGATAGCTTTGGCCTATTCTTATTGTTCTTAAAACTGCTCCTTGATTTATTTTTGTTGTGTGTTCCTAAAGTTATTCAGTAGCCTAATTAGATATTCATTTTGACATTCTGGTCCCAGAAGAAATAACATTAACTCCATACTTATCCATCTGGTTATCAGTTATAGCTTGTGAGTTGCAGCTTGTAATTTTCCAGGGACATGTGGGCGCCCTTCCAGTTAGGCTATTAAAGTCTCTTACACTCTAACAACATGCTAATTAATATCCTTTCACGTTTGTGGATACACAGCAAAACACTGCCATATAGAGGAAATTTCATTTCTTCAATATTGAAGTGTAGAAATTTTAGATTAAAAATTAAGCCAGAAATTATTTATATATTTTCTGAGGAACCAAAACCTTTTATCTTCAATTTTATGAAACTGTTTAATTCACACATCATCTTAAATTTAATATCCATCATTGTAAAAAATTTGCACTGTGAAAAAGTATCTTAAAACCTGCATTCACAGAAGGGTGTTTCCTAGCAACCCCATACAATCAGGACCAATCCTTGGCTGAATTGTGACTCAAAGTGCTGTTAGAAGTAAAAATTTGCATGAGAAAGAGACCAATGTCTGTTCTGATTAGGAACAACAGCTCTTTCCTAATATTGGTCAGCAGCAGTCCAAAATCAGGCAGCTGTTTAGAAATGCCTTTGTTTTTATGAAATTTTGCCTGAGGAAGGAAAGCATTACATCCCCATAGACAGTACAGAGGCCACTAAAACTTCAGAAATTAATCCAGACAAATCAGGGATCTCACCTCTACAATACATTAAAATAAGTTGCTTCCTTTAATTTTGTTTAAATTTATTAATTCACTGTTATTTATTTTTACCTTGTAAATATAGTATTCACTGTTGCTTACTATAAGGACTAAATATTAGTTAATGGTCTTATAGAGAACCAGAGAACAGTTATTATATTAATTTGGATCTTTTATATATACATGTACTTGCACATTATCTTCCCTTTGTTGACTTCTGTTGTCCCTGAATATAAATTTCAGGACAGTTTATTTCAAATTATTCCAGTCTTAATCAATGCTTCCCCATAGTAATAATATCAAGCCAAAGAGATTTGATTTATTTATATTTATTTTAGGAAAAAAAAAGTTGCATTCTTTCAGAATAAGAATAAATACAAAACCTCAGTAAGTTAACTTACCACTATTTGATTTTTATTTCCTGTTAATTTTTTTGTCATTGTTGTTTTATATTCATATTACTAAGTAGAAAAAATTCCTGCCATCAAATAGGTCATGTAATGTACATTTGGGGCTATATAAAAACATAAAAACTATCAGAGTCAGATGAACTATGATTATTGCTACTACTAAAGTCTCAAAGACCACACAGAGGGATAGCCTGAGGAACACTGCATCCCAAATTTAGAAACCACATCTGTTCCTGGAGCTAAATTACAGCATATACTCTAAAGATTATTTTTAGCATAAATTTACCCCAGAAAAATACAAACAAGGCATGTAAGCGAACAAGAAACACCAAAATAATTAGACTATTCTCCAAATGTTTCTTGGCATTTATTAGATTATAAATACCCAATGCACAAAGAAGGATTTAGGGTACCAAGTGGAATAAACAAGCTTGTAGGTACTAGCTCTATTTATCAAAGTCTAAGCACAGATCCTCTTCTCAGAGATCATGCAATTAATAGTACATACCAGAACACACACACATACACACACAAAATACACATTATAGCAAAATTATTTCATTTTTAAAAAGGAGCTGTTAAAGAACTTTTTTGTTTTTTTAGATGGAGTCTCACTCTGTCGCTAGGCTGGAGTGCAGTGGCACGATCTCAGCTCACTGCAACCTCTGCCTCCCGGGTAAGAAATTTTTTTAAATGATCTTGGATTTCTTTTTCTTTTAATACATCCCATAGAATTAACAATATCCTGAATCTTTAGAAATATGATTGTCTATTTCACATAGTTGGAGAAATATAATTAAAAGAAAAATTACCTCCCAACACAGAAAACCTATCCACAAAGACAGAAAAGAAAGTAATTTTGTTACTCAATAAATATTAAACAAGAACCTGATGTGTATCACAAGCAATCTGCTAAGAGATTTGCAAAGACAAAAAAAAAAAAAACTCACCCTTTTAAATAGCCAAGCAGATACAATCCATAACATATATGTTTTCAAGATTAAACAATTGCTAGTCCTCAAGTAAGAGGACCTGACAGCACCATTCGTCATACATAGTTCATACTAAATTTACTTAGTAGGGTTGGGGCACAGAAAATGATAGCCAAAAATATGGCACTTTGGCATACTGAGTGTTTTTGTCAGAAGTACTCAAACCAGAGTGACTCTATCTTGAACAGGGGTTGGGAAAATGAGGCTGGGACCTACTGGGCTGCATTCTCAGGAGGCTAGGCATTCTAAGTCACAGGATGAGATAGGAGGTCGGCACAAGATACAGGTCACAAAGACCTTGCTTATAAAACAGCATGTGGTAAAGAAGCCAGCCAAATCCCACCAAAACCAAGACGGTCTCCTCTGGTCATCCTCACTGCTTTTTATACACTAATTATAATGCATTAGCATACTAAAAGACACTCCCACCAGTGCCATGACAATTTACAAAAGCCATGGCAACATCAGGAAGTTACCCTACATGGTCTAAAACGGGGAGGAACTTTCAGTTCTGGGAATTGCCCACTCCTTTCCCAGAAAAATCATGAATAATTCACCTTTTGTCTAGCGTATAATCAAGAAATAACTATAAGTATAATTAGTTGAGCAGCCCACACCGCTGCTCTGCTTATGGAGTAGCCATTCTTTATTCCTTTTACTTTCCTAATAAACTTGCTTTTACTTTATTCTATGGACTCGCCCCGAATTCTTTCTTCCGTGAGATCCAAGAATCCACTCTTGGGACCCCCTTCCAGTAACATTTTGAATTAAGGAACATTGAATGGACTCCGATATTAGCCTCAGAACCAAGATCTCTCTCTTATCTTTCCTTGGCCCCCTGGCTCTCGGATTCTGTTGCTTTTCTGAAGCACCAAATATCCTTATCTGACTAAGAGTTTCTTTCCAGAACAAATGCAATTGTCTTAAGACCCTCTCCCTAGGAATCTCATAAAATAACTGGGAAATCAGCATGGCGACTGACACCTTTAATCCCAGTACTTTGGGAGGCTGAGGAGGAGGATACTTTGAGGCTAGGAGCTCAAGACCAGCAGGGGCAATATAATAAAATCCTGTCTCTAGAAAAAATCAAAGGATTTCTTGAGCCCAGGAATTCAAGGCTGCAGTGAGCTATGATCATATCACTGTACTTCAGCCTGGGCAACAAAGCAAAACCTGACTGTGAAAAAAAGTAAAAAATCAAAACAAAACAAAACAAAACAAAAAAACAGAAAAGATCAACCACCTGAGATGAGAAGAGACTGGGAGAATTATCGCCATACCCAGATAGTTTCCTTTATTCTTCTGAGGCCAGCTCCAAAATAGGTTTTATCTGCATCATAAGACAAACTTTGTTCACAGTTAAGTTCTACCTCTCAGCTTCCCTTTACCAGAGCTCACAGGAACTTTGCCACAGGCCATTGTTCTTTGGGCTCACTCATTTCCCCAAAAATCATCCACTCCTACAACCCCCAGCACCCTTTCCCCTATGAAGAAGGGCACAGGCAAATCTAGGCCTCATTGGGTTATTGGATAATCATTCTCCTGCACTTATACACATTTTTTAAAACTGTATACTTTTTTCTCCCACTAATTCTGCCTTTTGTAAGTTCATTTTCAGGAACCCTTTAGAGGGGAAAAGGAAAGCTTTTCCTCTTCATCCCTACAGTAGCTGGGATGACCATCTGTGTTAGCTAAATAGCTTTATCCAAAGTAAAAAGAAACTTCTCATGTCTTCATGACAGGAGGTAATTTAGCAACTTGGAGCAAGGCACCCACATAAGTTAGTCTCCTGCCCTCCCACAGAAGCTGAGAGACAGGGGCACCATCCTCCTTGAAGATTGTATTTCAAAGAGATGATTCCCAGGTTCTTAAGAAAGACATTCCTGTATCTCAAAGTTTGCAAGAGGTTTATTTAGCTATCAAAAGAGCATTATGAGACATTCAAACACATATAAAAAGCACTTCAAAGTGACAAGAAGGAGTTTACAAGTATTCCGAAGTAAATACCTTAAGAAAAAGCAGGGGCAGGTGGCGAGGGTCTCTTCCCTTATTTTCATTGGGGGTATTTAAGCCTTTTATTTTAAATTTGCATTTGCTTTTATAATACGTATGATTCTACTCTAAATGTAGCAAATCCTTAAAAGATTAGGAACTCTCAACTTACATTAACATCTGTAGCTGTACATATTACCTTTTTTCTAACAGTAAGGTTTTTTTCCAACTTATTTTAGGTTCGGGGGTACATGTGCAGGTTTATTACATGGGTAAATTACATGTCATGGGGGGTTGGTGTACAGATAATTTTGTCACCCAGGTAATCAGCATAATAGCTGATAGGTAGTTTTTCAACCCATCCCTTCCTCCCACCCTCCCATGTCAAGTAGTCCCAGGGTCTATTGTTGCCATCTTTGTGTCCACATGTCCTCAATGTTTAGCTCCTCCTTATAAGTTAGAACATGCAGTATTTGGTTTTCTCTTTCTGTGTTAATTCCCTTAGGATACTTGCCTCTAGCTGCACCCATGTTGCTGCAAACGATATGATTTCATTCATTTTTATGGCTGTGTAGTATTCCATGGTATATGTGTACCACATTTTCTTTATCTAGTTCATCATTGATGTGTATCTAGGTTGTTTCCATGTCTTTGCTATTGTGAATAGTGCTGTGATGAACATACAGGTGCATGTATCTTTTTGGTAGAACATTTTATTTTCCTTTGGGTATATAACCAGTAGTGGGACTGCTGAGTTGAATGGTAGTTCTGTTTCAGGATCTTTGGAAAATCTGTACAGTTTTCCACAGTGGTTGAGCTAATTTACATTCTCATCAGAAGTATGTAAGTGTTCCCCTTTCTCTGCAACCTCAACAAGATCTGTTATTTTTTGACTTTTTAATAATATCTATTTTGACTGGTTTGAGATGGTAATGAGACAGCCAAATGCCTAGGCAGATAAAAAGGGGTCCCTAGAGTATTTCCAAAACACCCCACAAGTGTTTAAATCAGATGCTTTTATGCAGACGAGGGAACCTGCCCAGAGCTAGCCATGCCCACAGTAGACTGGTGCCAGACATGTGCACTGGGGGGAAATGGGTGGAGCCACGGGGAATTCACACCTTATGCAGGAGAGGCACCTGCTCTCTTCTGTTCCTGTATGGTGGCCTCAGATTCAATCTGTGAGGTTGGAGGCCTGTTAGCCTCTCACTTTGCTGAGAGTTTTTCCTTTTTTTTCCCCCTTTTTGCACAATAAAACACTGCTCTACTCACCTTTCAACGTATCTGTGTGCCTAAATTTTCCTGGTTGTGTGATAAGGACCTAGGTTTTAGCTAACCTAAGGAGCAAAATTCTGCAATATTTTGGCATCTCTGGGTGGGCTCAGCTTTAAAAGGTCTTATTTGATATTCTTTGTGGAATAGAGTTCCATCAATGCCAATCTAAAAGGCTTATATCAAAATAATTATTCTTGCTACACTTTATGCAAATAATCAGGCCAAGTATAAGAATAAAGTCCATTTTGCAAAAAATGCAGTCCTATCATGAATTGTTTTTAACAGAAATGAGGACTAGAGAGAAATTATGTTTCAAAACTTATCATCATTAGAATCTACACTCATTAGTTGTTTTTAAGTTTTTGCCTACATTTTAGACTATCCCTGCTTGTTCTTGTGAACCAACCAGCAATCTCCAACTGCAGCTCAGAAGGAATAAAAGTGGATGTGTGATGTAAAAATCTGGATTAATATTCTAGTTCTGAGCAAACTGGTGCCAGACATGTGCACTGGGGGGAAGTGAAATCCTGAAATCCTGAAAATCCTGCCAGGTGATGGGAGTAAATAGGGTGCCCATTACCTGGAGGTTTCCTCTTTGGGAAAGTAAGACCAATGGAGCCAAGCCTCATCACCAAAATCTTAGCAAGCATAACTATAGCTACCAAGTTATGCCACCAAGGATGTCTTGGGTGTGTCACAAGACATCTTTTCCTCTCCCTTGTTGGAGGACAAATCAATCCCACAGCTTCGCTTTAGCATTTGGCTTATGATAAGGAGTCCATACAACACCGCTGCAAGACACAGTTTTGTCCCAAACTCAATTCCAAGCTTCAGGTCAAAGCCTTAGGAAAGAAAACTGGATCTGAGGGATCCAGAGGCAGATGACAATGGAAGTTAAAAGGCACAGCGCAGGTGATCATGACTAATTCCTGCTGATTAAGCCAAGCTTCCCATTTCATGGATAAACATCACACTGGTATCCATGGCAATAAATAAGGTCTAGGGAATTCAAAGGCTTCTGAAAGCAGGGGAGATAGGGTGTACATGGGTAAGAGCGGATACTCCCACCCTCTAGGCCCCCTGTTAACACAGGTGAAAGCCACTTTGACACTCATGGGTGGCACTCTGTCGCAGTCACCAGGACTAGGGGATGCAAGGACAGAAGATAGAGCAATGCCTCACTTTCTCTCCCTTACTTACCCTGGGTATTTGCTAGGAAGAGAAAGGAACCAGGGGTACCTGCTTCCCTCTTTCTAGATCAGTAGCCATTCATCTTCAGCCTGTACCCCTTAAGAATGCATTCTGAACCTCTGGGATTCCTCTGGGAAAAAAATGCCTTCTTTTTTCTTTTTTCCTCCTCTTTCCTCACTTCACTGATAGGTAATCATGTCTCCATACTACAGGACACTCCCCTTGGATGCATCCTTCAAACTGGGAAAAGTTAATTTCCCAAACCTTAGACTGGTTGGCTTCAGACTGGGCTCAGGGAAAGGAAAGCCAGAAGACTGGCATGCCGGCAAAAGAGTAAAAGTTTTTTTTTTTACCACTCATGCTTGTGGCCTCCTTCTCCCTGTGCAAACTGGTAAAAGGCCTCAGGATTTTTGAGCTGTCCTTTTCCCTGCTTGTTTCATTTTAATACATGACTTCTAATAACCTGGTTTTTCTCTTCTTGCCTTCAGACCATCAAACTCTAAATGCTCATGCAGCCAGAGCCTCAGACCATAGCCCCTTTTGCTGGGGTCACTTAGGCCCCTGAAGAAGATCTGACTTCCATTTTCCCAAAACAGTGCCCCCTGTCAGCAGGAAGCAGTTAAGATTGGTCTTTGTCCTTGTCCTTACCCTTATCCTTATCAACAGCAGTAAGATGTACTTCTTTAGAGCTGTGAATGAGATGGCCAAATGCCTAGGCAGATAAAAAGGGGTACCTGGAGAATCTCTGACCCACCCCACAAGTGTTTACATCAGATGCTTTTGTGCAGGTGAGGGAACCTGCCCAGGGCTTGTCTGGTCAGGCCCACAGCAGACTGGAGCCTGACTTGTGCACTGGGAGAAGTGGGTGTAGCCATGGGGAATTTGCACCTTATGCAGGAGAGGCACCTGCTCTTTTCTGTTCCTGTGTGGTGGTCTGGGATTCAATATGTGAGGTTGGGGGCCTGTTAGCAGGAAACCTTCTTGCTTTACTGAGAGTTTTTCTATCTGTTCACCCATTAAAACCCTGCTCTACTCACCCTTCAATGTGTCGATGTGCCTAAGTTTTCCTGGTCACGTGACAAGAACCTAGGTTTTAGCTGAACTAAGGAGTAAAATTCTGCAACAATATCTTATTGTGGCTTTGATTTGCATTTATCTAATGATTTGCAATGTTGAGCATTTTTTCATATATTTGTTGGCCATATATACGTCTTTTGAGAAGTGTCTGTTCATGTTGTTTGCCCATTTTTTAATGGGGTTGTTTTCTTCTTTGTTGAATTATGAAAGTTCCCTATAGATTGCAGATATTAGATCTTTGTGAGATGCATAGTTTGCAAAATTTGTCCCATTCTATAGGTTGCCTATTTACTCTTTTGATAGTTTATTTTGCTGTGCAGAAGCTCTTCAGTTTAATTAGGTCACACTTAACAATTTTTGTTTTTGTTTCAATTGCTTTCAGGGACTTACATAAGTTATTTACCAAGGCCAATATCCAGAATTGTATTTCCTATGTTTTCTTCTAGACTTTTTATAGTTTTATGTCTTATATTTTGTCTTTATCCATCTTGAGTTAATTTTTGTGTATTATGTAAGGAAGAAGTCCAGTTTCAATCTTCTGCATAACAGTTTTATTGGTATTTGTTTTCTAATAATTGTAGTTACCACATCCCAATAGTTTATTGTAGTATGCTTTAAACAAACTGAGAGAACAAGGAATAGAGGTGAGAACTAATGAAAAATAGAGGTAAGAATTATAATCTCTGTGTAACAATGTAGAGTAAATCTTGGCAGATACATAATTTTACATCAGGAAACTAATATCTAACTTGTATATTAGTAAAATTACTTTTGATAATTTACACTTTTTTCAACAAAATAGCTTATTTTTCTGGTTATATGAATAATACATACACATTATGAAATGGTAAGTAATTATATATATATATATATAAAAGTACAGGAAAGAGCATAAGTTATCTGATATCTCACATTTGCACTGAGCTAAATACCATTATTATTTTGTGACTAATCTTTCATAAATTTCAGTTGATTCTTTACTTTGGAGTTTTTTCTATTAGGAGATAATGTGAAGCACAATAAATATATTGCAAACATATAAATAATACTTAATGTTCCAAAATGATTTACTATACAATTTCTATAGAACATGATTTATTTAATCTTTGGGGATCTAAAATGCATTTTTTACTGGATACAATAAAAGGAGCGTTTTATTTTGTCTTGTGTTCTACAAAACAAGTTCTTATTAACAAGCAGTATGAACTGGAAAATTTATGCAAAAAGGAATTTGTTGGAAAAATATTTGGGGCAGAGAGGTGCTAGAGACAAGACGCTGAATTGACAGAAAACTGGAGGATCAGGCTTGGAACTAAGCAGGACTGGGCATCTAAAATACACATAGGCATTAAGAATCCCAGCAAGTGTCTCCCTGTCTGAAAGCCTAGAGGGGAGGTTGAAGGAAGGGGAGGGGGACAATTGCCAACCAATCATTCTCAGACTTGCAGTAACTGCTTGAGATCCAAATACCTGGAAAAGAGCTCCAGATTAATCTTCCATGATGGAAGATGGCCTGTTGAATTACCATCCTAGAAAGTCTACACACAGTAAGGAATAGTTATTTACCCACTAGGAAATGAGATACTGTGTCCGGAATTTACTCCTTCTGGTGGGTTCTTGGTCTCACTGACTTCAAGAATGAAGCTGCAGACCTCACAGTGACTGTTACAGCTCTTAAAGGTAGTGCAGACCCAAAGAGCGAGCAGCAGCAAGATTTATTATGAAGAGCGAAAGAACAAATCTTCCACAGCATGGAAGGGGACCCAAGCTGGTTGCTGCTGCTGGTTCGGGTGGCCAGCTTTTATTCCCTTATTTGGCCCCACCCATGTCCTGCTGATTGGTCCATTTTACAGAGCACTGATTGTTGCATTTACAATCCTTTCGCTAGACACAGAGCGCTGATTGCTGCGTTTTTACAGAGTGCTGATTGGTGCATTTTCAATCCTTTAGCTAGACACAGAGTATTGATTGGTGCATTTACAATCCTCTAGCTAGACAGAAAAGTTCTTTAAGTCCCCACTCGAACCAGGAAGTCTAGCTGGCTTCACCTCTCAATACAATCAGGAAGAGATAACAGATTCTGCACAACTAAAAAATGTCAAATCGCCTTAGCAATGCCCAACAAATATTTGTTTTCTATATCTCCTTTTGTGACTTCATAAGAAACCATGCATTTAATAATTTTGATAACATTGGATTTTAACATAAATGACATGACACTCATATTTTTTTTAGTAAAAAATAAAAAATTATAGACACAAAATGTAAAACAACTTTTATGAAACTTAGCCCAAGTCTAAGAGTATGAATACTGACTTTATTTCATGCAAGGACCTAGCTCAGGAAGTTTCTCAACTCTTGGTTACATTCATTTTTGCTTTCTTAGTCACTTAATTCTCTACCTTGCTCTATTACCAACTGCTTAAATACTCCGTAACCCTCCTGTTACTATTGAATCTTCTCTTTCCTATGTTTTATTTGAATTATTTGTTTTCTGCAAAAGTCATACTTTAGTAATTGCTTTTGAGTTTCAGTCTCTATATGTCTCCTAACTGTCAAGACAAAAAGACACCTGAATAAAACAATGACAAAAAAAATAAAAAATATTTTGGAAGGTAACTGAGGAATATTTATCCTTGATAAGTCCTCCCAAATATAAATGCTGCTTTTTAAACAATGACTCTGTTGTACAATTTAAATCCCCCTAGGTCATGACTCAATTTGTCTCTAAGACCTTTCCTCTCATAGAATTTTCTGAAAGGTGGAGATAATTGTAGAAAGCTCTACCCTTCATCCAAATGTTTATTTCAGATAAGTTCCTCTCTGAAAAAGGGAGAGAATACACTTTCTCTCTATTCCAAAAAAACAAAAATGTCTGCTTTCCTCCAAAGTATATACTTTCCTTGAGCATTCAGGTACAGACCATGCCAGTGCCCAGCAAATTCTTATAAACAAAAATCTCACCAAAGTTCTCTGGTTTTTCCTTGTATATTAGGATTCCCCCAGTCTGTGCCACTAGCACAGATGAATTGAGCCCTGGAAATCCATGACTTAGTAACACACATGCCTCCCCTTCTAAGTGCTACAGAATTTCTTTTTTGATGGAACCTCTCATACCTTAAAGGAATTATAAAATGTTATTAAATGTTTATTTATCTCCTCTGATTCAAGCAGAGAAAGACATTGATGACATTAAACCTGGCCTCAGAAGCATCTAGCAGAAATATTAGCTTCTGTGGATATATCTTTATTTTTAAACCCTGAATTGGGAAGAGATGTTGGAGTAGGAGTTTAATATCTATCCTACTGTCTGTGGAGATGAGATTTTGAAACTACTCTCATACAGAAACATTGTGACTATTACACCTTGCTTGGGCTTAAACTGACACAGATACAGACACACACGGAACACACCAACACACACACAAACACACACACACACAAACTCTATCAGGAATAGACATAGGAGTCAAACATATGGAGATCAAAATAGCAGCTTTATTATTTATAAAGCTGAGTTGGAGAACACCGTAGCTGTGTTCAAAAACAGACTTACTAACATGCTGTCTATAAATCTAGACCTTAGGACACCATATCCAAGAGAGTTCAAAAGATAGATAGATCAGACACATTTGCAAAATTATTCAATGCTTCATCCCCACTAGCCCTGATATTGTAGCCTTGCTACTAAATGTTGCCTGTCATTAAGCAGCATGAACATCAACTTCTGACCCCAACTAAGACCTCCTGAATCAGAGCCTGTGTGTCAGCAAAGTCCATGGGGGATATGAATATACATTAAAGTGTGAGAAGTGCTGCTCCAGATGGTGAGAGATGGGCTTCCAGTGTTTCCCAAATATTCTCAGGACCCTTCTTTGGAGATTCTGAAACAGCAAGATGGGTCTTGAAAATCTGCATTTTAAAAATCACTCCAGATCATTGTTATTATCTTGGGAGTTTGGAAAGAATAAATTGGTGCTTCTGAAATGTTAATGGTATACAAACCACCTCAGGGTTTTGTTAAAAAGTAGGTCCTGATTCAATAGGTCTAGGATCAGCCCTGATATTCTAATTTCTTCTTTTCCTGTAATTGCAGTCTCAATATGTTGCACAGCCTGGTCTCGAACTCGTGGCCTCAAGTGATCCTTCTGCCTCAGTCTTCTCAGTTGTTTGGGATTGCAGGCATGAGCCACTATGCCCAGCACTCTGAGATTCTGATTTCTAAGAAACTTACAGATGATAATATTGATGCTCATCCACCAACTGTGTTTTGACAGGTGGGGATACTCACTACTATACTAACGAGGAAGACAAATCACATTTCATATAGAGTTATGCTTCTTCCCTAGCAGCAGGAGCCCAGCAAACCTTTTATATAGATTGTGGGCAGGCCCAAGAGAGCTAGGGACAAGGTAGAACCACACATGCTCAGCAAAATATCCTCTACTGAATACATGCTTCACTTCTGCTCCGCAAATGAACAGGTCAACAGGGCTCAGGAGAGGGGCAGAACTTATCTTCCCAATACTGTTACCACTTGGGGAGTGAAATGGAAACACTTTAGAAATATAAGGCTTAGGAGAACAGGGTTCTGGACTCCCAGGCCCAACAACTCACTGATGTTACTGGTCTCTCAGGGGACAAGGCAAACAGTGAGATAGGCACCTTGAGGGCCGCCTCCAGCACCAACCTACTGCTCACTGCTGGTGAGCATTGCCCTTTGCCTCAACATGCTTCTGGAACCAGACCAGAGCAGTTCACGAGTCAAATAGGTCCAACCACGCAGGAGGCTCAGCCTCCTCCCCAACTCATTTTTCATCTTAAATTAGACTCAGCCACTTTGCAAACACAGCTCACCCAAGGTAATGTATTGAGTCTATATATTATTGTAAATATACAATAGTAAAAATACCCACAAATACAATAATAGCAATAGCAATATGTCCCAAATTTGAATATTAACCTTCCATCCTTTAATTTTTAGAGAAAAATTAAAATCCAAAGATTAACTCACTTTTCCTCATAAAGATCAAAGTAAATTCTGAATTACAAAGTTAACATTAAAGATAAAGGAATTTCCAGCCAGTCATGGTGGCTCATGCCTGTAATCCCAGCACTTTGGGAGGCCGAGGAAGTCAGATCACCTGAGGTCAGGAGTTCGAGACCAGCCTGGCCAACATGGTGAAACCCCGTCACTACTAAAAATATGAAAATTCGCCGGGCGTGGAGGCATGTGCCTGTAATTGCAGCTACTGGAGGGGCTGAGGCAGGAGAATCGTTTGAACCTGGGAGGTGGAGGTTGCAGTGAGTTGAGATCACACCACTGCACTCCAGCCTGGGCAACAGAGTGAGACTCAGTCTCAAAAAATAAAAATAAAATTAAAAAAAGACACAATTTTCCCTAACTTCTTGAGCCCCATCACTTTAGACCCACTGAATTGAAACCTCTGAGGACTGAGCCAGAAAATTTGCATTTTGAACAAGTCCTGTGAGGATGGTGAAATTTTGGGCTGGGAACCACACTAGAAATACTGCATTAGAGGGAGCCAAAATGGTTTACCTAACAAAACTTGAGAGCCTTTCTTTTAAGGCAAAACAAACAAAAGCAGAAGCTATGCTTTTAGTGACATGAGGATTTACTGGAACTAAGAGCTTTCCCTTTCTTAATGACCTAATTCCTCCCTCAACCATGCTGCTTCCTTCAGTCAGCAGCAAAGCCCCATTCATGGCACCCAGGCCTGTGCTGAACGAAAAATAAATCCATCACCAATGAACAATGGCTTCCACTTCTGTAACTGGAAAAAGTTGATCTAAATCAAATGCATTAAACTTTTTAGTTTAGTTGCTAAGTGAATGCTTGGGTCCATTTCAAAAGGTTATCTAGCTCATGCACCTTCTTCTGGGTTTTACAGATGCTAATAAATCAGACCTCTATTCATATATATGATTTGAAATCACATGGGAAACAATAATTTTTAATACTGATGTGACAAAGCTGGAATAGAAAATGCAATCTAGATTCATAGGGAAAATAGGATTTCTAACACACACACATACCTCTTCCCAAATCCACTGGAGGTAGAATCTTCCTCATATCTGTTGAGCATCAAGGGCTGGAACAAAAAGAAAGCTACGCTCCTACCCTGCCTCTACATGGCCCTGGAACATTCCCCTAGGGTCACTGATTAGAGCCCATCAGAACAGGAGCAAAAGAAGGTTACTACCTTGTACATGTGGATAAATGGGAGAGCAGTGCCTTTCTCTCAATATCAATTAAATGAGCAAATTATTCATTTGCCCAAGAGAAGAGTAAAGAAGTCAGATTACTTTCTCCATATCTCCTCCCCTCCTAGGAAGGTTAGTGAAAATTCTTTCATGGAAATAGGAGGAAAGAGTAGAAGAGTTCTAACACGTCTTTTTTTTTTTTTTTTTTCGGAGCCTCACTGTTGCCCAGGCTGGAGTGCAGTGGCGCAATCTCGGCTCACTGCAACCTCCGCCTCCTGGGTTCAAGCGATGCTCCTTCCTCAGCTTCCTTAGTAGCTGGGACTACAGGCGCCTGCCACCACGGCCAGCTAATTTGTGTACTTTTAATAGAGACGGGGTTTCACCATGTTGGCCAGGCTGGTCTCGATCTCTTGACCTCGTGATCCACCTGCCTCAGCCTCCCAAAGTGCTGGGATTACAGGATTGCGTCACCGCGCCCAGCCCTAACACTTCTCAAGAAGCAAGAGAGGGTTAGAGGGATGTGTGTATTTTTAAACCAGAGCAGCAATTAGTCCCCTTGGTTTGATTACATTTTAGTGACTCATGTATTTTGTTAATTGATTTAACCCTAAAACAAAGACATGGGGTTTATTAATCTGTTTTGAAAAAAAGTAAGGCTTTATTTTCATCTTAATGAGCCAGTCTTTTGTCCATAACCCCTCTTAAGCTCAGTTTGTAGCCACCCAGCAATGCCACATATTAGAGAGGGAGCGTTAGCCATCACTAAGCCAAACATGACCCATTCTTCACTCTTGAACATAATTGGTTCAAGGGTTGGTGTCTTGTTCAAGCTGGATGAAGTTTGCTCCCCATAAAAACTGAAAATTAAAACTTGATATCAGACTTAATCTGGTTCTAATCTTCAAAGGGAGGTGTTAGTCACCATATTACAACAGGAAAATTTGATCTGTATTGAGAAAGAATAAAGTAGACACAGAGATGAGTAGATGGAGAAGGCATTCCAGATCTTTATCTAATGTCAACTGAAGAATCACAAGGTTCATCAATTTGAAATGGAAAGCTTTATTTCTCATAAAGGGTTGCAACCTGCAGTCTGGCCATTTCATAGGCTGGGAATCATAGCATCTGGCAGAAGCCGAGATTAAACACCTGAAGGAAGGGGTAAATTCCCTCCTTCAAGAAGGAAGGAGAATTTATGCTGAGCATGGTGGCCAAATATACATATTTAATAGACTATAGGAGAAATCATGAATATTTATAAAAGGAGAAACATGCACACCTACATCTGAGATTCATGCCCTTTCATGGGTGGCATGTTCAAAACATGGCAGCGTTAGCATAATCTAAGGGCAGAGTTTGGGGCACACTAATGTTGAAAGGTGAAGCAGAGGACATGAAAACCCTCAGTGCGCAACTGCGCATCCTCCACAGACTGGCCAGAAGCACTCTGTTTTTCGTGGTCTCTTACCAGGAAGGAAAACGCTGGTCAGTTGCTCTATGGAGACAAAAATGGGGTGCAGCAATCTGGCAGTTGGCTGAAATCAGCGGTAGCGTGAGTCTTTCAAAAGGACTGTGTTTTTAACCCTTAGGCAAGAAAGCCTGATGTCAGTGAGCAAGGGACAAAGTGTGATGAGGTGTGTTAACCTCTCGACCTGTGAGGCTGGAAACTCAGTCTTAAGGTTTCTCTGGGGTCCCTTGGCCAAGAGAGGGTTTATGCAGTCAGTTAGGAGACTTCGGATTTTATTTTTATTTCTCACTAATTTTTTTCTGAGATCTGGGTGCATCCTTGCTCTTGGTTTTCATGTAACACCTATAACATTTACCTTAAATAAGCCAGTTTCTCTTACTTGAAATAATAAGAACACCCCGATACACCTACTTTCAAATGCTTCCGCCTCTGCGTCCTCCTGTTTCCCAAGCTTCTCCAAGCACATGTGCATAAGCTGCTTGATATCCCTATGTGATTATGACGTCTCTCTCCCTTACTGTCACTCTATTGCTTCTGGTTCATTATTTGTTTCTTTTTAAAATAAGGCAGAGGTTATAATAATTTCTTAAAGGATTTATTTTTTCATCGCAATTCTTTTTAAGATAATACATAATGCAGAAAAATGTTAGACAAAAATACATGATATTTTATTATGTTCAATTCAGTCAGCCCTCACATATGAAAAATAGGCTCTGTTCTAGAAATTGGAAAGATAAAAGGGAAATTGCAATCGAATTGTGAGGACAAGTGGATACAAAATATAGGCAAACTAACAAGCATAGTACAACAGAATGAATATTATAAATAAACTTTGAACACAACGCTACCACAAAGTAGAAAAGAGAATGCCGAATTCTACTTTGAGAGACTGAATAAGACATCACTGAGGAGGTTAAATTTGTTCTAGGGCTTGAAGTGGAGGTAATTGTATAAATACAGTTACAAATCATGGAACGTGCATAACTCATTAAAGAAATGCTGGCTGCACCTAATGCTAAATAGTTGGACTGAAGCCAACTTGTTAAAGTCCCTAGTAGTGTGATGATTTCACATTCCTGAGGCAAGGAGAAGGCATTAAAGGTTCTAAAAGACAGGAATAATACCATCATACCTATGTTTTAGAAAAATAACTCCCAGAGGAATGTGAAACGTGATTATTTACGTGTGCTATTCAGAGAAGCGACTTTAGTTTAAAGGCTTTTGTAGTAATCATGGTAAAAGATAAGTCTCACCTAAGTTTAGAGGGATTAAGGTGAAAGATGGATCAAGAAACATTTTGGAGGTTGAATTGGGAGACTGATTTATAAGACCCACTGATTAGAAAGGCATTGGTGTCTAGAGGAAGAGAGGGCTCAAAAAATATATAGTGGTACCATCAGAACAAACAAGGTCACATTCCCCCGTATGAAGGCGTGCTTTTAGCAGATCTGCCACTCTTAGCAGGATAAAGATGTCGATAGAAACAGACATGGAGATAGAGAGATAGATGGTATACATACAAATGTAGATACAGATATAGACATAGAGGAAGACAAAGATATAGTTGTTATTGCATAACACTTTGATAAAGCACTGAAAATTTCGGCAAATGGCTTAGGTACCAATATTTTTCACCAACTGCAGAAATTTCTACCTGAACTTAAGCAATTCATTCCTGTGACTAGACTTATATGTATCTGTTTGGAAGCATACCTATAATGCAAGGTAGTGGGTAAAATAAATAGATATATAAGAATATATATATAAATAATATATAAATATATGAGTATATACATATGAATAAATATATAAATATATATAAGAATATATATGATAAATAAAAATATATATTTGTCTATATATAGGGAAATATATATATATATATATATATATATGGAACATATCTTGTAAACAATCTAATAGAAATACAGGCTTTTGTTAGTTGAAATTATTTTACTTGGAACACTTAGGTCTCAAAATACTACAAACATAAAGGGAAAGGCTTGACTTTCCTATAGTCGTTTAACAGGCATAGTACCTGTAATTACTGAAATGTTACCTCTAAAGTTTTCATAAGGAAATGTAGTCACATATTTCCTCAACATATTTAAGGCAAGTGGAAAAATAAAAATATATGGAAATTATATTGTATAGTAAATACACTGTTCATCAGAGCAAATTTACAGACTACTGTTAATCTGTGGCATTTATGCTGATTTCCCCTTCATTAAAATTAATGAAGCAAACTGTCTTTTCTGTGTAGGAGGCAAACACAAAATAAGTTATATTTTCTGACCTTGAAAGTACCAAACAAGTTTGGTAAGTCTCCTAGGAGTATCAGTACAGGCCTCATGCTCTTCTGCTGTTTAAGATTAATTGTATCATGTGATTTCCTCAAAGTAGCCTTATGAAAAGGAAACACTGCATTTTCATCTTTCTGTTTTATACAGAGGGCAAAAAATCCTTATATCCCCATGAATAAATAGTTTATCTTCTTCATGTTTTATTTCTTTTAATTATGGAGAAATTTGATTTTTATCTAATACAACTAATATAAAGTGTTATGAAATCTAAGATTGTACTTTGGTATTCAGAAGAACTGGAGTTAGAACACTGTGTAATTTAGTTGGTTTTTGAAAATGTCTGTTCGCATCAGCTATAACCAAAGAATAATAATGGTTTCCAAGGGTTGACTTGAGGACTAAATTTAAAAAGTGTGTGTCAGTCCAGTATAGAACAATGATGTTGGACCAATTACATAACCTGTTGAGATCTGAAATTTATTGATATATTCAACTATATTTATTGGGTGCCCACTATGTGTAGGCCATGGTGGTAAGCTCAGAGAACACAGTGATGTGTCACAGTGTTTACTGTTGTTGAGGGAGACAGTCAATGTAAGAGTCAATTACAATGTAGCTTACTAAATACCAGTATAAGATAAATCATCGGTACTGCAGGAAAGCAGAGGTGGAAGTCAGGAAATGCCTCCTAGAACTGAACAGGTGGTATGTAGAAGTTAGCTACATGAGGAAAGGACAGAAACCAACAATAATGTTGGCAGAGGAAGAACTTTCATAAAAGCCAAGAGGTTCAAGCCGGGCGCAGTGGCTCACGTCTATAATCCCAGCACTTTGGGAGGCTGAGGCTGGCGGATCACGAATTCAGGAGATCGAGACCATCCTGGCTAACATGGTGAAACCCCGTCTCTACTAAAAATACAAAAAAATTAGCCGGGTGTGCTGGTGGGCGCCTGTAGTCCCAGCTACTCGGGAGGCTGAGGCAGGAGAATGGCGTGAACCCGGGAGACGGAGTTTGCAATGAGCCGAGATCACGCCACTGCACTCCAGCCTGGGTGACAGAGCGAGACTCCGTCTCAAAAAAAAAAAAAAAAAAGCCAAGAGGTTCTTACCTCCTGGGAAGGACACGATAGAGGAAATGGGGATAAAATGGGGTCATTTTGGCTGGAAGAGTTTGTGTGACAAGGGGAATATTAAGCGAAGAGGAGGGAAGTAGAAAGGACCAGATCAGAAGGGCCTTCTGAAACCTGTATAGGGGTTGAAACTTCATCTTAAGACAAGAAGAGTCATAAAATTGTTTACATGAGAAAGTCACATCATTGGATATGAGAAAGTTTGAGGAAGTTGAAGATAATCGCCAAAGGTCACTGAAGTGATAGATGGTGGTATTGGATCTGAATGAAGAAAATGAAGATAGAAGACAGCTAAAGTTAGGAGAAAACGGAAGATTTAAGCACCGGAAGATTGATATTGAAAGCCAAGTGTACAGAGTGAAACAGGGAAACCATGGAAACTAGAGGAGGTTGTCTTCAGAGAGCAGTTCTGATGCACTACTTTGGTGGAGAAGTCATTTCAATTGATCAGAGGAGCTGGAGTGTGGCCCAAGGGAGCAAGTAGTTGAACAGAAGTTGAGGTGGTCATAGCTAGGATTTGGAAGCAAGCTGTAAGGTAGTATAAAGGTAGTAAAGTTGCCTGGAGTTGCTAGGGCATCTTGCTATCATTTCTTTCATACAATTTTCCCCATGCAGGTGTTTTGTTTTTGTTTGCTGGTGGTTAGTTGTCACGGCAAATTCTGAAATTCAGAACTGATTCAGATCATAATCCCAGTTAACAATAAATTGCTACTTGCTCCCAGTTTATATCTTTCCCATGAGAAGTGTGGGAGGAGAAGATGTTCCTCCAGAAAGCGTAATCAAGGTACTCCTGCGTCTCCTGTCTTCATGCCATCACTTTATTTTAAAAGCTTCTAATTCTACAACATTAACCAACGAACAAAAATAAACACTTGTGAATCAAGTGTTTTTCAGATAAAGATAATCAAAGTAGTGGTGAACCCAGGGAGTTAAGGCATTAGAAAGAGGAAAAGATTCTTTTTAATTAGAACTTGAGATCATCTAGCATCTCAGTGTTTTATTATTATGTTATACAGGTATAACAAAAATAGAGCAATGTCTCATTAGCTGAACACAAATATATCTTATTACTGTATAGGAAAGTGATATTTAAAATCCAAAGCAAAGAGCCTGATTTATTTTTTCCTTTCCAAGAGAAAATGTCTACATGGTAAATACAAACTACTCGATTGAATATAATGGTATAAAACCATATATGTCAATATTATCCACATTTATAACAGATTAAATAGAATAACTAGAATAAGCCCTAAATAGAGAATGGGAAAAATTGAGTCCTTCTCCTAGAAAAGGACAAAAAGCAAATGTATTCTAATCAAAGTGACTTTATATACCATTGCTCCTTAATGTGTTACTGCATTTTGGTATGAAATATTTCCAAAGAGTATACTTGTCAGAAAGTCATCTTATATCTTCAGGGGAGCAAATGATCCATGTCGTAAGTTAGAGTTAAGCGTTCATATATTTTTGTTACATAGTATGCACCATGCAACAAAAATATTTCTCCTCTGTAAGAACATTTTCATCTGATCAATAAATATTTTGGATAAGGTACACCATGATAGGTACTGTTCTGGAAACCATCCATGAGGTAAGGATGGGGAATGGAGGTAAACTTAGTATTGACCCAACTCTAAAGGCTATCCCAGATGAAACAACCTATATATTTATGTGCTATTCCCAGAGGGTAACCAACACTAGACATAAATAAAAACTAAATTGTTAGCCAAGCAAAGACGCTAAGCAAGGCAGATGCACAAAAATTAAAACAATTAAGGCAAAATCCCAAATAACCAGCATGAACCTGGTTATTTACATTTTGTTATAAATTGTGCCAATCAGGATGAATCAAACTCAGTGGAAAACTGCTAACCTTAACTCTCCTAAATTTAGAAGGTCATGGCTGGTTTATTGCATAATTAGAGAGGTATCATTAATCTTAATAGCTTCTATTGCTTTTCTCTCTACCCAGAATATTCAAATCAGTTAGTCAGATAAAAGAAATGAGGATCTTGTCTTTCTCAGAGAAGTCTAGTCACACAAGGGAAACCAGTGCAATACCTTTGTGTTCTCAACTCCATAGCAGGAAACTGAAACATGCTTTACTTATGCAAGCTGCTCACGCAAGGCAGTATCCAGGCCACGAAGATTAGATTATTGTAACTCCCTGTTGGCTGACTTGTTCCATAAGGCCTTACATAAACTCCAGCTGGTGAAGGACAATGCTGCCAGGTTCCCTCTGAAAAGGGCAGAATTAATCAAAATATATTCCTCCCTATCTGAAATCCCAATGTTAGCAATTGGTTAAAAAATAAAGTAGTGTCCTGATTTTCAAATTACTCTTTTAATTCAAGGAGTAATATCTGGCCCAACTCCAATGTGCTTTTTACAGTCTCTTAGCAATTTATGTTTCCTGGCCAGCTTCTGAATTCTGCTGAAGAAAATCTACTTCATGTCCCAAGACCATTTCAGGGCTTTATGGAACATGGGTATTTCTATAATCTTAACCATGTGGAGTTCTGCTTTGATTACAATGCATTAGGTTTAAAATACATTGATTTAGATAAAACTTTATAGCAAGTATTCCTCAGAACAATATACAATGGTGTAATTGTATTTCTCATTACCCACAGGTAATTAGACATTTTCTTTACAGATTGGGACTTCAAATAATATTTCATCTATACATTCCAAGTCATTGAGCTAAAACCAATTACTTGGAGTGTATGGATCAAATATTCTTTAAAGAGGTATCAGTTAGCTAGCATGCAGAAGCATACACATGGGGACACATACACCCACAAGCTATTTATATTTCCAAGCTCTAAATGCAACAGAGAGTTATAGGAATTTTTGCAATCAAGTCTGCTCCCTTGGTGAGTAGCCAAATCAAACTTTACTAACTGAAAGCAAAACAAATTAAAAATGGTATAAGAATTTTGGGTATATAACAATACAGCCAAGTGTGTAATGTTTATTAATCAGAGCTGAAGATATAGGTAAAAAACTTTGTAACACTTGGCTGGGCGCAGTGGCTCACACCTGTAATCCCAGCACTTTGGGAGGCCAAAGTGGACAGATCACTTGAGGTCAGGATTTCGTTGGAGACCAGCCTGGCCAACATAGTTAAACTCTGTCTCCACTAAAAATACAAAAATTAGCCAGGCGTGGTGGTGGGCACTTTTAATGCCAGCTACTGGGGAGGCTGAGGAAGGAGAATTGCTTGAACCCAGGAGGCAGAGTCTGCAATGAGCTAAGACCTTGCCACTACAGCGGAGCCTGGGCGACAGAAGGAGACTCTGTCTCAAAAAAAAAAGAAAGAAAAAAATGTTGAAATACAAAAAAGTCAACGAAAACTTGATCTATTCACACTGAGAATTCTAAGAAAGTCCAAAGACTATTCCAGAACTAGAGGCCTGCTGAGTCTCTTCAGTGGAACAGTTTCCATTCAAATTTCTTTCCAAGAGGCCATCAGTCCAGAAGACTTGAATAGACATTTAAAATTTTAAAAGCTTTCCCTAATATGAGAGGGAATACGAAGTTACTCCTTCAATATTCCGTTGTCAGTAGAGCCAACGATGTTCTTTCTTGGATTTATGATAAAAATGAACAAATAATGACAACATTGGCATCAACTTAAGGCCAAAGATAAGGATCCACCATCTATTGAAAACCTATTTTATGTATAATGTTCCGCTAAGCACTTTATATGCATTATCTTATTTACGCTTTATAACAAACTTGCAAGGTATATGTCATTATTTTGCTACTTTGTTTTCATCCTTTACTAAGTCAAATTGTAAACATAAAAATATATTAGGAAAAATCAGCATAATTAAATATTTTCTGCAATACATAAAACTAATCATTAATTTATAATATCATATGCTATTAATATTTTGAACAAGTAGGCAGATTCCAGAAACAAGTCCAAACTTGTAGAAAGCAACCAGTCAAGCATAATTTTTTTTAACTTTTCATCTTTGCTCTGAAGGCAGCAACACTTGCAGGAGGGTGCAGAGTGGCTACAGCCTCAGGAATTAGCTAGATATCTTTCTAGGTTAAAGAACATGGGAAAGAAGCTTGTAGCAACCAGCACTGCCAGAGAGTAGTGGTGGAGATAGGTATGAGGAGGGAAACTCAGAAAAAAAAAAATGAGCCAAGAAGGGGAGTCAAATGACTAAAAAAAAATGAGTCAGGTATATATTTGACCCATGTGTTTCTGTTCCTCAATTACACATTTACCAGTCGGACTTCATGCAGTCTGAAGTGAGACTTTAATTACCATGTACCCTAAGCTGAGAGTTTATAATTGGAGTCTATCCAATGCAATTGCCTGCTAAATCAAAAATATCAACACTCTTCAGGAGACTATAGCAGAATCCAGAGTCCTCACAACAAAACGTCACAATACAAAATACAAAATTACTCAACATATGAAGAACCAGGAAAATTGACCTACTCTCAATAGAAACAAAATCAAGAGAGGGTAATCCCAAGATAATAGCAAGTATTGAAATTTTTAGAGAAAAACTTTAGAGTAGCTATTATGATCATGCAAATTAGGCAAAAGAAACTTCATTAATAATGAATCAAAAGTGACTACATTTTAACGGAGAAATAGAAAACATTAAAAAGAACCAAAGTAAATTAAGAACTGAAAAATGCATCTCAAAACACACAAATAACAACACCAGATAAGCCTAATTGTAGAATAATAGAATGGTGATGACAGAGAAATAGAGTGAAATTCACAATGAATTAATAGAGTTTATCCACCTGAGTAGGAGAAAACAAAAATGAAGAAAACATGGACAGAACCTTAGGTAACTGTGACACTATATTGAAATGTCCGACGTAAATATAATTGAAGGTGCAGACGAAGAGGGAGAATGAGGCAGAAGAAGAGAGAGAATGGGGCAGAAAAAAAAGTTTAAAAAATAATGGCTGAACACTTCTTAAATTTGGTTAATGACTTACACACACAGACTCAATAAGCTCAGAACATCCGAAGCAGAATAAATAAGAACAACACATAGGTGTATTCAAACTAAACTACTGAAAACCAATGAGAAAGTGAAAATTTTCATAGTCAGAGAACAATGAAATACTGCATTAAGGGGACAAATATTTGAATGAATAAAGATTTCTCAAAAAGTATTGAGGCCAGAAGACCGTGGTAAATATCTCTAAAGTGGTGGTAAAAAGAAAAAAAGAAAGGAAAGAAAAAGAAAAATGGAAATCCAGAATCTTGTGTCTAGCCAAATAAATTATCCTTCTAGAATAAAGGTGAAATAAAGGTATTTTCAGATAAATAAAAATTAAGAAAATTTTCCATTATACTATGCTATAGAAAATGCTATTAAAAAATTAAAGTTGACAGGCACAGTGGCTCACGCCTGTAATCCCAGCACTTGGGGAGGCCGAGGCAGGCGGATCACGAGTTCAGGAGATACAGACCATCCTGGCTAACACGGTAAAACCCCATCTCTACTAAAAATACAAAAAATTAGCCAGGTGTGGTGGTATGCGCCAGTAGTCCCAGCTACTCAGGAGGCTGAGGCAGGAGAATCACTTGAACCCGGGAGGCAGAGCTTGCAGTGAGCCAAGATCGCACCACTGCACTCCAGCCTGGGTGACAGAGCGAGACTCCATCTCTAAATAAATAAATAAAAATAAAAGTTATTTAGCTGAAAATGAGAGCAGTGTGAAATTCAGTCCTTGAAACACTAATAGAGATCATTGGAAAATTTTGATATGTGAATAAATATAAAAAATATATTTCCTCTTATTTAAATTACATGTGTTGTTGAAACAAAATTTATAGGATCATCTTATGGAATTTATAATGCATGTAGATGTAGTATGCACACCATTTACATTATCAGCGGTGATGGAAGTGGTAAATGAATCTTTAAGGTGCAAAGTTTTTACATTTATGTAAGGTAAATATTAGCTTAAGAGGTAAATTATTAATTTCTAAAGTATTAAGTATTTTAACCTTTCAATTTATTTATTATTATTTTTTAAATAGACTTAATCTTTTAGAGCTGATTTAGGTTCAGAGAAAAATTGTGCTGGGTTCCCTATACCGTCTGTCCCATCACATGCACAGAGCTTCTCTTATTATTAACATCTTGCTTTAGTGTGGTACTTGTGCCACAACTGATGAACCAATATTGATACATTATTATTACCCAAAGTCCATAGTTTTCATTAGAGTTCATTCTTTGTGTTGTACAGTTCTGCGGATTTTGACATATGCATAACATCATATGTTTACATTTATAGTATCATACACAATAGTTTCACTGTCCTAAAAACCCACAGTGCTACACCTATTCATCTTTTCTCCTTCCCCCTGAAATTTTGGAACTAATGATCTTTTTACTGTCTTATAGTTTTGGGTTTTCAGAATATAATAGAGTTGAAATCATACAGAACATAAAGATTTTTCAGCTGACTTCTGATTTAGCAAAATGCACTTAGTGTACCCCAAAATCTTTTGGTGGCTCAATAGTTCATTTTTTAAAATAGATTTTTAGAGCAGTTTTAGGTTCACAGCAAAATTTAGTAAAAAGTTCAGAGATTTACCACATACAGCTCGGCCCTTTAAAAATTACTGAATAACATTCCATTGTACTAATGCATCACAGTTTATTTATCCATGTACTTATTGAATTGTATTAGCTCACAGTGCTGTATGTTAGCAGCCCAGACGTGGCTTAGCTGGATTTTCTGTTAGGGACTTCAAAGTCAAAAATCAAGGTTTTCCCCAGACTGAGTTCTCATCTGGAGATTCAGGGAAAAAAAAATCCACTTACAAGCTTACTAAGATTGTTAGCAAAATATAATTTCTTTGAGTCTTAAGACTGAGGTCCCCTTTCCTTGCTGGCTGGCAGCCATAGATTGGCGTTAGTAGCTGGGGACTTCCCGGGTTCCTTATTACAAGACCTCCACCTCTTCCACACCAGCACTGAGAACTTTTGTCAAATCCTAATCACTCTTTGAATCATTCTGACTTCTCTGTCAGATTTAAAGGGCTTATTTGATTTGGTCAGGCCCACCCAGATAATTTCCCTGTTTTAAGGTCAGTTGATTTGGGATCTTAATTACATCTACAGAATCCCTTTACAGCGACTCTTATATTAGCATTTAACTGAATAATTACTAGAAGGCATGTACATACCAGAGGCTAGGACATTTGTGAGCCATATAAGAATTCTACTAAACACACCATATTAATAGAATAAAATAAGCTATTTCAGTAGATGCAGAAAAGCATTTTAATGCAACATCCATTAAAAATTAAACATATCAAAATAATAATTTTATTTTAATTCAAAATTCATTCACAAATAAAAATTCTCAGTAAATCATGAAATAAAAGGAAATTTATTCAATCTGATGAAGTTTTCAATCTGATAAGGTGTTTCTACACAAACCCTATAGCTAATATTATACTTAACAGCGAAGTTTTGATCTCCAAAAATCAGGAATAAGGAAAAAAATATGGTATTTCTCATTTCAATTAATGTTACGCTAGCATCCCTAATTATTACAATGAGGCAAAAAAAACAGAGAGAGGAAGAGGGAGAGAGAGAGAAAGAGAGAGAGAGATGAAGGAAAGAAGGAAGGAAGGGAGGGAGGGAGGGAGGGAGGAAGGAAGGAAGGAAGGAAGGAAGGAAGGAAGGAAGGAAGGAAGGAAGGAAAGAACGGGGAGAGGGAAGGAGGGAGGGAAGGAAGGAAAGAAAGGAAGGAAAGGAGGGAAATTATTTCCAGTTTTAGATGATATGATCTTAAAAAAAAAAAAGGGAATCCACAAAGTAACCAATAAAAGTAATAATTTAGCAAGGTCACAAAATACAAATGTAACACATATAAAATTTTTATTTTTATAAATAGCAAATAATTGGAAAATATTTTAAAACAATCCTATTTTAATGGCACAAATGAAAGATAAAATATATTACTGGGTCATTGCACTTATTAGGTCTCTAGAAAATTAGGAAATAAAGCATTCTTATTTGGACTGAGCTCTACGCCTTGGAATAAGTCATTTTATTTTGCTGAACTTCTTTTTCATATGCATTGTGGGAAAAATAATATTTACACGTTTACCTTCCTAATAAGAGCACCTTGAGGCATAATGCAGAGTTTCTAGATTCAGTGGAATAAAATCAAAATGATAATTGAAGAGATTGTGAGACTCAGGGGCCAGGGTTACTCACAACGAGGCTGTATGTAGTTACAAATTTTGTAATTTTATATTTCCCAAATGTAAACATTGAAGACACCATGCCTTTACATAGCAATAAATGAAAATCTGTGATATAAAAAGTTATTTTGAGGAAAACTGCTGTTATTTATTTATATTTAGAAATTATTTGAAATAAATATCAAAGAAAACTTGATGACAAATTTAAAGTCATTTCCATGTAGCGAAATGAAACATAAGTATTAAAAAAGCAATGAATTTAGTCATTATGCTTTTTAAAAATATTATAGGACTTCACTTCCACAGGCTGGTGGAATTATCAGTTCAATTTCAATAGATTTCAATAGAGATATATATTATGCTGGCTACTCAACTAGACTAATATCATTTTATAGAGACCTTTCTTTTGCTTTGTGTTCTCTTTGTTATTATACATAAATATCAAATTATCTACTGACAAAATGTATTAAAATTGTCTAGAATTACTTAACAAACATGTAAGCACTGATCTCACAGGATTGTTTTAAAATGAGAAAACATGAATGAAGATACCATTGAACAATAATGTGTATTCTATATATGGTAATTGTCAAATAAATATGACATCCAAGGCCTCTGCTAAGTGCTTGAGCAAAAATTTCAGCATGTCTTCTCAACCATCAGGAATATATGTTTTCTATATTTTCAGATAGGTAGGAAATGAACATATGTTTTGAAGCTTTTGTAACTAATCTTCTACTCATCTTCTCATGCCAAGTAAAATATGGATGGCTGTTGTTGTCAACAAAAATATACTAACATAATTGATTAATGAAGAATTATATAACTCATTACTGGATTATAATTTACAATTTTGTTCTTTTCTATTAAGTTCAATAGAGTTTGCAACATATTTATCATCTATGGCATTAAAAGAGCTTTCTAGAACTTTAAGTTAGATTGAGGTACAGAATACTCACTAGGCTTAGTTTCATTCACCAATAAATGAAGCTGGTTATTATGCAGCTTTATTTGAGGACTGTTTTCTTAGAAGTTTTATGATGATATAAGTTACTTGAGTATAGATTGAGTATAGATTACAATAGAAAGCACCATTTAAAAATAAAATAATTATTAGAAATTCAAAGAGTAGTTTTCTGTTATATGTTAGAAGGCAAAAGATTGAATTTATTCATAAATATAGGTTAATCATCTAGTCAAATCACCATTATTTGACTATGAAGAAATAATCTTTAGTAAATGCTTATTGTAGATCTTTGAATACTAAAATTGCTAATAAGAAACGGAGGACAAAAGATCAATAAAAATTTCTAGAAGAAAACATAATGAAATATTAATAACTTTGGAATACGCAAAGATATATTAGGACACAAAAGATTAAGTGTACAAACTTGATAAATGGTACTTTATTAAAAATAAGAACTTGTGCTCTTCAGAACACATCATTAAAAAAAGCCAAGGAGAAAATACTCTCAATACCACAGTCTGACAAATGACTTGTATATAAAATATACAACTTTTTAACAATTAGGAGACAATTTAAAATGTACAAAATATTTTAAAGGGTGATTCACAATAAAAAATACATGTATGGCCAGGTGTGGTGACTCACACCTGTAATCCTGGGACTTTGAGATGCCAAGGTGGGCACACTTGAGCTCAGGAGTTTGAGACCAGCCTGGGCAACATGGTGAGAACCTATCTCTACAAAAAATACCAAGAAAAACACAAACAAACAAAATTAGCTGGGCCTGGTGGCACATACCTGCAGTCTCAGCTACTTGGGAAACTGAGGTGGGAAGATCGTTTGAGTGAGGTGTGGGTGGTGGGTGCAGAGGTTGCAATGAGCTGAGATTGTGCCACTATGCTCCAGCCTGGGTGACAGAGTAAGATCCTGTCTCAAAAAAGAAAGAAAAGAAAAGAGAAAAGAAAAGAAATACATGTATGGCCAATAAGCACATGGAAAGATTCTCAGCATCATTAATTGTCAATGAAATGCAAATTAAAACTATAATAAGATGCCACTACATAGCCACTAGCATGGCTAAAATTAAAGACTGACTAGTACCAAGTGTTGACAAATAAGAAGTGTAACTGTCATACATTGCTACTGAGAATGTAAAATGACACAACCATTTTACAAAATAGTTCGACAGTTTCTTATAAAATTAACCACATTTTAGCTTTGACCTTGCAGTTCCACTCCTAGGTATGTACCAGATAGAAATAAAACATGTATCTAGACAAAGACTTGTATGTATGACACAACAATTTTACAAAATAGTTTGGCAGTTTTTTATAAAATTAACCACCCTCTTAGCTTTGACCTTGCAGTTCCACTCCTAGGTATGTACCAAATAGAAATAAAAACATATATCTAGATAAAGACTTTTATGTAAATGCTCACAGCAAGTTTATTACCATAGATGGAGCCAATAATATACCTGAAGAGCTTGATATAACGAAACAAATAAATAGTATGATATAACAAAAGAATACTAATCAGCAATAAAAGTGCAGCGTAATAACAGATAAATTTTGAAAACATTTTTCCGAACAAAAAAAGACAGACACGAAAGACGATATACTGCACAATTTTATTTATATAAAATACAAAAACAGGCAAAGTTAATCTGTAGTTACAGACAGCAGACAGACTTGTATTTGGCTGATAGGGAGGACTTACTAAAATAACTATTAGGGAACTTTAGGAGGTGATAAAATATTTCATATCTTGATTATTGTGATGGATATACAACTGTATACATTTGCTAAAATAATACAATAACTGTACTTTTAAACTGGGGACCTTTTATTATATATAACTCATCTTTTGATAAAGATTATTTAAAAAACGAATAGCAAAACAAAGTCAATAATATAGCATAAAATTATAAAAGAAATTATGCTGGTCAAAAAATGAAACATTAACATTTTTCCCAAAATTGTTTGACATATTCTTCCACAGATTCATGGAAATGCCAAGAGTTCAGCCTAGTTTTATAGGCTAGAATTATTTCTTCTTGTTCTCCATGTATAATTTAGAACTATTGCTGAAATCTTCTGTCTTTCTTGACCAAAGTAAATATTTTTGTTGGTTGTGGTCAGTTGAGATGATACTGAGATTTAAAAAAATTATGAGAAATCCAAGTGAAATAGAAAGATACATATTCTTATACTTTCCTACATGGGCATTTGTTCAGTCGTGCCTGTCCTGGAGATCTTGTAGAAAGTCAGTGAAGTAGTAACATAGAGTCAAAGGTCAAGTCGAGATCATTCTCAAAGGCATGAAAAAGTCAAAGGAGACCTGGGGCTAAATGCTTCTGTAGGAAATTTTGTTCACTCCTTCCCATTTTTAAAGTCTTTATTCTCCTCTACCAAAGGAGAGTGACGACAAAGAAGGTCTTCAGGAAGAAGATACAGTCTGGATGTAAGTTCCACTCCCTTTTAAGAGATTAAAGAAAATATTTCATCTAAGAATTTTTTATCATTTCTGTTTCAACACTATAATTGACTTATCCTAGGTCTCTAAAGCAGAGGTTTAACGAGGATCCTGGTAACTAACTTGGTGGAGGGGGAAAAACAATTAAAACAAAAAAAACCTGAAAATTACCTAACACATTATTTTAGTTTTCTATTCAACATAAAATTACCACAAGTTTAGTGGCTTATAAAAATGCATATTTATGATCTCACAGTTTCTGTATATCAGGAATCTGGACACAAGTTAGTTAGGTTCTCTGCCAGGCCGGGTTCTCACCTGGAGGCACAAATGAAGAAAGGCCCCACTTCCAAGCTCACTCATGCCATTGCCAGAATTTATTTCCTTGTGGCCATAAAACTGAGGACCACAGCTTCTTGCTGGCTGTTGGCTAGAGACTGCTCTCAGCAACTTTTCCATAGCTTATTGCCATATAAGCCTACTAACATTGCAGTTCACTTCTTCAAAGACAACAAAGGAAAAAGTCTTCAAAGCAGGTGAAGTCTACCAGCAATATGGAGTCCTTCATATTGTAATGTAATCAAGGGAGTGACATCCCATCACTATTGCCATAATCTGGTGGTTAAAAGCAAGTCACAGCTTCTCTCCACATGCAAGGGGAGGGGATTAAATAAGAAGGTAGAGATCATGAATGTGACTTGAAAGTCTGTCCACTTCAAACATACTGTGTGCTAGGCATGTCTTAACATTGTTTATATTGGCTGGGGCAATGAAAAACATTCAACAAGTGGTAATTATGACTTGAATAAATACACACACACATACATGTACATTTCTTAACGTGTAACAGGGATTATGCCTTAGCATGAAAGTTATTCAGTGTTATGTCCCATCAGTATCTAAACCCAGGATTTTTACCGTCTGCTCCTCTGGCCTCCCTCCTGATGGATCCCTGTTGGTGCCAGGAAGGAATGGGCTGCCTAGGGATTCAGCGAGCTCCCAGCGCCTCCCTACTGTCTCCTACACTCCTGTATTTCACTCACCTCAGCTCTCTAACTTGACTCGGCTCCAGGTGAAGTTGGGAACTTCTCTGTCAAACAGACCTTCAGCTTCTCTTGTAGGGGTATGTGTTCAGGAGAGGAGGGTCTCCCTTTCCCACTTCTGTGGTTGGGGCACTCACAGTATTTGGGGTGTCTCCTGGGTCCTGCAGGAGCAGTCCACTTCCTTCAGAGGGTCTGTGGGTCCTCTCCAGTGTTTTATTGTAGTAGTTTCATAGTTTAAGGTCTGAGATGTAAGTCTTTAATGAATTTTAATTTGATTTTTGTATAAGGTGAGAGATGGGGATGAAGTTTAATTCTTCTGCATATAGATATCCAGTTTTCCCAGCACCATTTATAGAAGAGACTGCCTTTTCCCCAATGTATGTTCTTGGCATCTTTGTTGAAAACAAGTTCACTGTAGGTGTGTGGATGTGTTTCTGGGTTCTCTATTCTGTTCCATTGGCCTATGTGTCTGTTTTTATGCCAGTACCATGCAGTTTGGGCTACTATATCTCAGTCATATAATTTGAAGTCAGGTAATGTGATTCATCCAGTTTTGTTCTTCTTGCTCAGGATATCTTTGGCTATTCTGGGTCGTTTGTAATTCCATATAAACTCTACGATTTTTTTTTCCTTTTCTGTGAAGAATGTCCTTGGTATTTTCATAGGGATTGCATTGAATCTATATACTGCTTTTGGTAGTATCAACATTTTTACAGTGTTGATTCTTCCAATCCATGAACATGGAATATATTTCCATTTTTTGTGTGTGTCTTCTTCAATCTCTGTCATCAGCATTTCATAGTTTTTACCATAGAGATCTTTCACTTCTTTGGTTAACTTAGTTCCTAGTTATTTAATTTTATTTGCAGCTATTATAAATAGGATTACTTCCTTGATTTCTTTTTTCAGACTGTTCACTGCTGGAATATAGAAATGCTATTGGTTTTTGTAGGTTGATGTTCTATGTTGCAACTTTGTTGAATTTATCAGTTCTAATGGTTTTCATGTGGAGTCTTTAGGTTTTTTCATATATAAGATTGTATCATCTGCAAACAAGGAGAATTTGAATTCTTCCTTTCCAATTTTGATTCCCTTTATTTCTTTCTCTTGTCTGTTTGCTCCAGCTAAGTCTACCAGTACTATGTTGAATAATAGTGGTGAAATGGGGCATCCTTGTCTTTTTCCAGATCTTAGAGGAAAGGCTTTTAGTGTTTCCCCATTCAGCATGATACTATGGGTCTGTCATATGTGGCTTTTATTATGTTGAGGCATGTTTTTTCCATACACAATGTTTTGATGGTTTTTATCACAAAGGGATGTAAAATTTTATCAAATGTTTTTTCAGCATCAACTGAAATGATCACATGGCTTGTATCTTTCATTCTTTTGATACAATGTATCACATTGATTGATTTGCATTTGTTGAGCCATCCTTACATCCCTGAGATAAATCCCACTTGGTCATGATGAATGATCTTTTTAATGTTTTGTTTAATTTAGTCTGCTAGTATTTTGTTGAGGATTTTTGCATCAACATTTATCAGGATATTCACCTATAGATATTGACCTTTTCTTTTTTTGATGTGTCTTTGTCGGATTTTGGTATCAGCATAATACTGACCTCATTGAATGAATTTCCCTCCCCCTCTAGGTTTTGGAATAGTCAGAGTGGGATTGGTATTAGTTCTTTTATAAATGCTCATAAAAATTCAGCTATGAAGCCATCAGTTCTTAGGCTTTTTCTTTGCTGGCAGACATTTTATTATGGCTAAGATTAAGTTCAATGTTTCTTTGTTAATTTTCTGTCTGGAAGATATCTCCAATGCTGAAAGTGGGTTGTTGAAGTCTCCAGCTATTATTGTATTAGGTCTATCTCCCTCTTTAGCTCTAATAGTATTTGCTTTATATGTCTGGGGGATACAGTATTGAGTGCATATATATTTACATTCATTATATTCTGTTGCTGAATTGACCCCTTTATTATTGTATAATGACCTCGTTTGTCTCTTCCCACAGTTTTTGTCTTGAAATCTATTTTGACAGATGTAAATATAGCTATTCCTGCTCTTTTTTAGTTTCCATTGGCATAGAATATTTTTCTATACCTTTATTTTCAGTCTATGTGTATCTTTATAAATGAAGTGTATTCCTTGTAGGCAACATATCATTAGGTTTTGCTTTTTCATCCCTTCAGCCACTCCAAGTATTTTGTTTGAGAGATTATTCCATTCACATTCAATGTTATTATTAATAAGTAGGGACTTACTCCTGCCATTTTGTTATTTGTTTTCTGGTTGTTTTGTGGTCTCCTCTTCCCTTTTTCCTTCATTCCTGTATTTCTGTTAGCGAAGGTGATTTTCTCTGGTGGTATGCTTTAATTTCCTGCTTTGTGTGTGTGTATCCATTGTATGTTTTTCTTATTTGAGATTACCAGGAAGTTTGCAACTACTATCTTATATCTCATTATTTTAAACTGATGACAATTTAACACTGATTGTGTAAATAAGCAAGCAAGAATACAAAAAGAAAACTAATAAAAATTCTACTTTAACTACATCCCACTAGTTTTTTACCTTTTGTTGTTTCTATTTATGTCTCACTATATTGTCTATGTCTTGAAAAGTTGTTGCAGTTATTATTTTTGATTGGTTCATCATTTAGTCTTTCTACTTGAGTCAAAAGAAGTTTATAACACACTGCAATTAGAGGTATACTATTCTGTGTTTTTCTGTGATGTTACTGTTACCAGTGAGTTTTGTATCTTCAGATCATTTCTTCTTGTTCTTTAACATCCTTTTCTTTCAGATTAAAGAACTCTTTAGCATTTCTTTGCATGGCACGTCTGGTGTTGATGAAATCCCACAGCTTTTGTTTGTTTGAGAAGGTCTTTATTTTTCCTTCATTCTTAAAGGATACACTATTCTAGGGTAAATTTGTCTTTTTCCTTCAGCACTTTAAATATGTCATGCTACTCTCTCCTGGCTTGTAAGATTTTATTGAAAAGTCTGCCATCAGACTTTTCAGCAATAATGGAGTATTGATGCTCCATTGTATATTATTTGTTTGTTTTCTTTGCAGCTTTTAGGATCCTTTCTTTATCCTTGACCTTTGGGAGTTTGATTACTAAATGCCTTGAGGTAGTCTTCTGTGGCTTAAATCTGCTCAGTGTTCTATAACCTTCTGGTACTTGAATATTGATATTTTTCTCTAGATTTGAGAATTTCTCTGAAATCCCTTTGAATAAACTTTCCATCCCTATCCCTTTGTCTACCTCCTCTTGAAGGCCAATAACTCTTAGATTTGCCCTTTTGAGGCTACTCTCTAAATCTTGTAGGCATGCTTCACTGTTTTTGTTTCTTTTGTCTCTTCTGGCTGTGTATTTTCAAGTAGCCTGTCTTCAAGCTTACTAATCCTTTCTTCTTCTTGATCAATTCTATTATTAAGAGACTCTGATGCATTCTTCAGTATGTCAGTTACATTTTTCATCTCCATAATTTCTTCTTGATTCTTTTAAATTATTTTAATCTCTTTATTAAATTTATCAGATAGGACTCTGAATTCCTTCTCTGTGTTATCTTGAGTTACTTTGAATTTTCCCAAATCAGCTATTTTTAATTCTCTGTCATAAAGGTTATATATCTCTGTTTCTCTAGGATTTGTCCCTCATGCTTTATTTAGTTCATTTGGTGAGCTCATGTTTTTCTGGATGGTGTTAATGTTTGTATATGTTCTTCAGAGTCTGAGCATTGAAGAGTTAGGTATTTATTGTAGTCTTCACAGTCTGGGCTTGTTTTGCCAGTCCTTCTTTGGAAGGCTATCTAGGTATTCATAGGGACTTGGACTCCAAGACCAATAACACTGTGTTTTTTTGCAGACTCATAGAGGTACTGCCTTAGTGGTCTTGCACAAAATCTGGAACAGTTCTCTGGATTACCAAGCAGAGACTCTTGTTCTTTTACTTTACTTTCTCACAAACATTTGGAGTCTCTTTCTCTCTGGTCTGAGCCACCTGGAACTTTGGGTATGGATGCAAGCACCCCTGTGGCCACCACCAGTGGGACTGCGCTGGATCAGACCTAAGGCCCACACAGCACTGGGTTGGGTCTTGCCCAAGGTCCTTCCTGTCATGGTGGCAAATTCTCCCAGGCCTCAAGCATGCCCAGAGATTCTATCTGGGAGTCAGGAATTGGAATAAAAAATTTGCAGTTTACCTGATGTTTTATTCTACTGCAGCTAAGCTGGCACTCAAATCACAATACGAAGGCCCTCCCACTCTTTCCTCCCCTTTCCATATGCAAAGGAGCCTTTTTCTGTGACCATCATCACCAACAGTCCACAGGGGGTCCTATCAGGCCACCCCTGATGTTTGCTTAGAGCCCAAGGGCTCTTATGGCAGCTTGTGATGAATGCTGCCAGGCCTGGGACTCACCCTTTAGGACAATGGGCTCCCTTCTGGCCCAGGGTAGGTCCAGAAATGCTGCCCAAGAGCCTAGGCCTAGAGTCAAAAACCCCAAGAGTCCGCTTGTTGCTCTAATCCACTGTGGACAAGCTGGTCCTAGGATGGAAGAAAAGTCACACTTTTCCCCTGACTTTTCTCAAACAGAATGGGTCTTTCACTGTAGCTATCATAGCTGGGAATGTGCTAGGTCTCCAGAATATCTCAGAGCACAAGGCCCAGGGTATACTCCCTAGGTATCACTGATGTTTATTCAGGGCTCAAGAGCTCTTTAGTCAGCAGGTGATAAAACCTGCCAGAAATGGGTTCTTCCACTCAAGGCAGTAGGTTTCCTTTTGGCCCAGGTTGTGTCTAGAAATATCATCTGGGAGCTAATGCCCGGAATGGGGGCATCATGACTCTGCCCTATGCATCTACTCTGCCCTATGCCTTCTACTGTGGCTGAGCTGGTATCCAAAAAGCAAGACATAGTCTTCTTTAGTCTACACCCTCCTCTCTTTAAGCAGAAGGAAGGAGTTACTTTTGTTGCTATGAGCTGCACTGCTTGGGGTTGGGGAAGGAATGGTGCGAGCCCTCCCTTAACCTTGCCAGACAAGCTCACTGGCTCTATGCCTAGCCTAGCATGAGGTATTGTCTAGGAACTGAAGTCCTTGTGTTCTAGACAAGGACTAGGGGTAGGATTCAAGTTTACCTATGACCCAAGAGCACTTTGTTCCACAGTGGCGAAGCTTGCCAAGAAACTCAATTGCTGACTGCTGGGTTGGGCAGTTCCCCTCTGGCTAGGCCAGGTCCAAATGCTCCCTCTGCAAGGGCACTGGCTGAGCCCAACACAGCTTTATTCTCTGCTGTGACAGGGTGGCGCTGTGTTCAATGTAAGGTCCTTCAGTTGCTGTGCTCTCTTTCCCTAGAATGTACAAATTATCTCTCTGTGCTGCATGGCCACTGGAGATGATGGGAAAGAGTGGCGTCAGGGATTTAAGACTGTCTCTTCTGACCTCCTCAATGCCTCTTTCCATCACAGGAAGTTAAAAACGGATACTGTTATTGCTCCCCTCACCTGATTTTTTGTTCCTGTGATGGTGCTTTTCTGTGTGCAGTTGTTAAAATCTGGTGTTCCAGCAGTGGGGACAAATGGTGTAGACTTCTATTCTGCCATCTTTCTCTGATGGGACAATTTTTTTTTAACAATGTTGGAATTATTTTTGGTTGAAATTCTGAAGTTTCCTCTAGTTTTCTAATATTTTAAAATAAATTTTAAAATATTGATTCTACTAATAATAGTATTTACGTCCCAGGTATGTATGTATAAGTATGCATATATGTTTTTTCATCCCTGTCTCTTTGCAATATGCTTTTATATATTAATTGAAAAGCCAGTTAACTTCTTTAATATTTGAATCATCAAATACCTGAACTAGCTTTTTCCAGTGGCAGGTATTGACTGGCAAACCTCTTTTCCTCTCCTGTAACACAACTGTGCTTTATTGATATTTGGATCATAATCTAAAGCCAATCATTCTAGTTTGGTATTTCTCTAATGGCAATTTTCTCAATTTGTCTATATAGAAGTTTTTGCCTTCAGGATTAATTTTGAGTTATAAATGGACTGTGTGTGTGTGTGTGTGTGTGTGTGTGTGTGTCTGTGTGTGTGTGTGTATGTGTGTGTGTGTGTATTAGTATGGGTCCTCTACAGAAACAGATCAATAGGAGATGTGTGTGTGTATGAGAGAGAGAGAGAGAGAGAGAGACTTCAAAGATTGGCTCCCATAATTATGGGTGTAAAAACACAAAATCTGCAGGGTAGGCTGGCAGGCTGAACACCCAAGAAGGAGTTGTAGTTCTAGCCCAAAGGCAGTCTGCAGGCAGAATTCCCTCTTCACTGAGAGAGATAAGTACTTTCCTACTAAGGTCTTCAACTGATTGGATGAGGCCCACCTACATTATGAAGAGCAATCAACTTTGCTTAAGTCTACTGATTTGAATGTTAATCCCATCTAAAAATATGCCTTCATAGAAACATCTAGAATAATGTTTGACCAAGTATGTGGGTACTGTAACTTAGCAAAGTTGACACATAAAATTAATCATCACAGTATAAAAGAGGATTATTTTAAAATGTACATGTATAAATATATATGAAATAGTAGTACTAATTTATATCAATATATAAATTTTTCAATGTGATTTAAAAATTAGAATGATTTTTTTAAAAGTTCTGTCTTTATGAGAGCTTAACATTTTAGGCTATCAGTATCTGTTATGTGCTGAATTATAATCCCCCCAAAATACAGATGCTGAAGCTCTAATTCTATCCTACTTCAGAATGTAACAGTATTTGGAATAATCTTTATGGAGTCTTTAATTAAGTTAAAATGAACTGATTAGTGAGGCCCCTAATACAATATAACTGGTGTCTTTATAAGAAGAGGAAATTTGTATACAGTTGTGTACAAAGAAAAGACCATGTGAAAACAGAGAGAAGAAAATAATCTCCAAGTCAAGAGGAGAGGCCTCAGAAGATACCAACTCTGCCAACACCTGCTTAATCTCATACTTCAAGCCTTCAGAACTGTGAGAAAGTAAATTTTTGTTACTTAAGCTACCCAGTCTGTGGTCCTTTGTTATGACAACCCTAGCAAACTAATACTGTATTATTTAAAAATTTTCTTGCAAACTATGGAAAGCAAGAGAATAAAAAGCAAAGTCCATACCAATTCATGAAAATATGGTTATTATATAACCAGAAGAAATATTTGGACTCTTTCCTTTGAACATTTTATAAACTTTATAGATAAATATAAAAATAGGGGACCATGGCCAAAGGAAAAAGGGCTTATTATTCAAAATAACAAACTACTACCTGGATACTGTCACTGTGGAGTTCATCTATCTTTCAGTATGGAAATACATGAAACAAAAGTAGTAATACATCAGAATAATTGCAATAAATTCCACAGCCAACTGTCTCATATCCAAGTCATTCAGTCACCATTCCTCATGTGTCTAACACCACTGTGTAGGGCAGGCAAGACTTTACCTTTACCCTCTTAGTGGTTTTTTTTTGGCTGGGCCTGATGAATAGGTTTCCATAAGATAGATCAACAGAAAAAAAAAGCATACAAATTTATTTAATACAAGTTTTACATGGCATAGGAGACTTCTTTCCTTAAGAGAAGACTTCTTTCCTCCATTAAGGAAACGGAGACCCAAAGACGCAGGGTTGAATACTTACTGAATTGGAGAAAAAATAATATATTGTGAAGAAGCAACTAAATTATATGGGGAAACTAGAAGATAAGAGTTATTTTAACAAGATCTGTGCAGAATTCTCTCAGTTTTAACTTTGAGTTTTTAATAATAAGAATGTTGCTTTCCTTCTAGTAGAGGGAGGGCATTTTTCACATGAGAATTTTACCTCCAACTTTTAAGAAACAGAAGGAAGGTCAGAGTGATCTCACACCTGCTGTTTGTTAAGTGCTTTTAGCTCAAAATTATTCATATGCCAGTGGCATATATGTTCTGAGCGGCATATTTTGGGGTGGTGTACCCTGAACTCCTTCAAGTTCAACACTCTATGAGGGAGGAGTAATAAGCAGCAGTATTCATCTCAAGGCCTTTGCCTTCTAATTAAGCCAATAAAGCTTAAAAGGCATATGCAAAAACCCAAACCATTAGAAAGAACTTTTAAAAATCGATTTTTAGGAAAATATACCATGAGAATGGTTTTAAGATATTTTCTTCCTATAATCTACAGTAAGAGATTTAGGTTTTATTTTATAACCAAGTATTTACATAGATGCAAAAATTGCACAAATAAAACAGAAGCAAAATGTCAAGAAGGAATATTTACCCTTAACTCTTATAGTATACTTTGATCTATTCTGTTCCATTTTACATCATTTTAGGTAGTATTAGCAAAACGTTAAATTAATACCATGAGAGACTAATGAATATTGCAAGAATATCACACTGAGAGATATTAGTAAAGACATAAAGATTTTAAGATAAAGGATTGGGTAATAGAGTAGACAAGAAAATCAACTGAATTTGAAATCAAAATACCTTGATTAAGTACAGTTCTGTATACTGGCTTTGTGGGCCGCTGTAAGTCACTCAAGAGCAATATTTTCTCATTTATAACACCAGTGGAGTCTGAATTTCTCACCTATACAAACAGAAAATAAAATTTGCCTGTCCCTTCAAATATGGCATTTGTGAAAAATAGTGATAATGGATGTGGAGGCATTTTAATATTGTAATGTAACAAAAATTACTGTTTATTTGAATGATCAAATAGCTGGATAGACTAGACTGTTATGCTAAGTTTTAAAAGACTTATGGGCATTTTTACAGAAATTTTCTTTTTTTAATTTTATCTTTATAGTAAAGAAGATATTTTGCAGCAACTGGACTATGGGGGGAAAAGCCCAGTAACAGGGGGCTTCTTTAAGTGAATGCATGCAGAAAGGTAATGCAGAAGCCAGAGACCATACTATTCTCAAGAGATGCAGCACATTTTTTGCCATCTGTGTTAATCTTCTAGGGCTTCTGCCAGAGCAAAGTACAACAAATTGGGTGGCTTAAATAACAGAAATGTATTTTCTCACAGTCCTGGAGGCTAGAAGTCCCAGATCAAGGCATCAGCAGAGTTAGTTTCCCTGAAGCCTCTCTCCTTGGCTTGGAGACCACCATCTTCTCCCTAGGTTTTCACACTGTATTTGCTCTCTACACGTCTGTGTAGCACTTCCTCTTCTTGTAAGGACACTAGTTATACTGGATTAGGCTCCATCCTGATAACTTCATTTTAACATGATTATTCCTAAAGATCCTATCTCCAAATATGGTCACATTCTGAGATGTTGGGGCCTTAGGACTTCCAACGTACGTAATTATATGATGACAGCATTCAGCTCAAAACACCATATGCTATGGTTTTAATATGTTACCAAAAGTTCATGTGTTAGAAACTTAATTGCCATTGTGATGGTATTAACAGGTGGGGCCTTTAAGAGGTGATTTGATCATGAGGGCTTCACTCTCTTGAAATGATTAATGTCCTTATCTCAAGGCTGGGCTCCTGATAAAAGGATAAGTTTGACCCCCATTTTCTCTGTCATACTTCCCTTTCCATCATGTTATGACCCTTGCCAGATGCCAGTGTCATGCTCTTAAAATTCTCAGCCTCCATAATTGTGAGTCAAATAAACTTCTGTTCTTTATAAATTACCCAGTTTGTGGTATTTGGTTATAGCAGCAGAAAATGCACTAAGACATCATCTAATTGATTTATTGTTAGCTATACTCCATTACTTAATAATAATGAAAACATGTCATTTATTTTTGCAGTTTTGTATATAACCAACATTAAGCCATTGATTTTTTTTCAGTGATTCAACATTGAATCATCTCTGTATTATCAAAATGGCCATATCTCATTGATAATTTACCAAATCATATTGATATTAAATAAGATCAATAATTATTTAACAAAAATCACTCTTTGCTTCTTCCTTTTCACAGAAAAGAAGATGTGTTAAAAAAAAAAAAAAGTATAGCAACTTGATTATTTCCCACCTTGAATATGGAGGTAGTATTTGTTTCTTTGGAGACACTTTTTTTAAAGCAGAAATTAACATATTCAAAAAGTAAAATGAGGATGCTGAGATAAAATATTAATATGTTCATATATTTAGGAGTAAATAAAAGCTTTGATTGCTACTAAATTTTGTTTTGTGTTGCTTAAGTCCCCACCGAAGTATGTAGAAACTTTTATTTCTTTTTGCAGCTTTTCAAAGCAGCAAAGGCTAATAAAAATTCATTTTAATTAGAAACAATACATTACAGTATTTTCAGATACAGACATAAATGCATTCCCATAATTTCAAGCTGTATATAAACTTTATATTCTTATTTAGAATTTACATACCTATACAAACTCTTTTATTTACAGTGAACATCACCACATTCCTTTAATAAGATTGAGCAGATGAGATATTTATCAAGTATTCTGGAAACAATGAAAAATTATCTTTGTTTATATTAAGAAAAAATTATCATTGCAGAAATGTTAAGCATCAGGAAAAAAGGTACATAAGTCAAGGATTTTTAAGAGATTCTCAGCTGAACAATAGGTCCCATTTTCTTGGAGAAAAAGAGGATGGCTGAGATTAAACTAGGTTCATTTAAAGAACACTGCCATTGTCTGACTATCCAAGGAAGTCTTAGTACAATGCTACTCATACCACCTTCATCCAGAAATCTCTAGTGGGAGGTGTAGGAGGAGCATTAAGCAAAATTCCAGGCCTTACTCTTTTCACACTGATCAGTTCAGAAGCCTGCATCCCACCTCTCTGCTGAAGATGAGGGAAAATCTCTAACAGTAAACTGTCGATGTAAGGAAAAAGTGTTTCCTCATTGGAGACAATATATATAAATGAGGATTTTACCTGCCCAGATAAGAAAGTAAGAAATATTTAATTATTAACTCATTTAAGTTTTTGAGTATACTGTGTAACTTGCATATAGTATACTTAGAGTGGAAATGTCACATAAACAGGAGAGACTTGACCCCATCCCCATGCAGTTCACATTCCACTAGGGAGAGGCATACAGTAAATAATACGTGTATAAAAGCAAATTTTAGTGTTTCTCATATAAACAGTGGATTATCTGATAGTGTCCTAATTACACAGAATATTCAGAGACTTTCTCTTTGATTAAAGTGACCAGTAACTTCTCATCTCCATTGTGTCACATTTGAAAGTGACAGGTGACACATCAGCAATTACACTGGGACAACAGTTGTAAATCCAAGCTAACCAGAACATAACCAGGGTATATGGTTACTCTGTCTTCAAATGTAGTTTCAGTTTAGCTGAGATTAAAAAAAAAAAAAAAGAACAGAAATCAATAAAGTAGAAAATAAGGGAAAAGAGTACTTTAAGTGGTAGAACAGCATATACACTGAGATCTTTCTCTGCCTAAAGAATGAAAAATGTCTAATGTGGCCAGCACAGACTGACTTAGTCCAAAGCCCAGCAAACTATGTCCCTCAGTTCAAATGCCGTCTATGCTTTTATAAACAATCAAATTAGAACACAGCCACAACCCTTTGATGTACTATTCTCTATTGCTCTTTCATGCTGCAACAGCAGAGTTAAAGGACTTATAGAAAAAACTTCTAGGCCTGGATCTATCTACAAGGAGACATGAGCTTCTCACTGACGTTACCATGTATTATGTCCCACTGAGACACCATCACCTTTAGCAATCCAGGCTCATGTAGGAGGTATCTGAACTGACCACAGCTCCTGGACAATGATTTGGACAGCTTGCCACCCTGCTGAAGGTACCAGCCTTTCACCTTTAATGAGGCTCATTCCTGTCCTCCTCACAGGGACCTTTTATACTCCTTCCATATGGCATCTAGGGCCCAGAGTGTTTGGCAAACAAATCAAGTTATTTCACCTTTGAATCAGTTAGTTTTGCCCAGATTCCAGCTCCCTTCTGAATATACAGCATTTCCTCAGTTATATAGGTGCCTGTTGGTCAACAAAATAACTCCTGCACTCTGCCCAACTCAACACTACCTGGACAAAAGTCTACTTCTTATTTTCGACAAATGTCAGACGCTATGAAAAAAAGACTAATTGACTAGTTACATTGGGGACCGTATGCCTCACAAAGCCTAAAATATTTGCTAACTGGCCATTTATAGAAAAAGTTTGCTAATCTCTGATCTAGGGAAAGATTAGCATGAGGTGCAGTTGGAGAGGTAGGTGCCCTGCTATTAAGATAAAAATATCTCAGAGTCCTCAAAGCAATCATTATTGCAGTGATCCAATTTGAATATCCGTAATTATAGAATGATAGAAGCATAAGATACCTCAAGAGACAAATCTGCCATCATTATATAAATGGATTATTCAGGTTGATAGTACATTTTCCACACAATTCACCATTTGCTTCTTCCCTTAGTAATTTCCTTGGATAAAATAGAACTTCTCTTTTCAAATAGTCACATTAGTAATTTCAGCTAAATAATAAGGTGCATTTTGATAGCTTATAATGGCCTAAACTGTGGAATATATAAAAGAAAAACAATACATGAATGATTACTATCCATTTATAATTTGTCCGTAGGATGAGAGTAAGAAAGAGTGATACATAAAAAAGGAAGAAGGAAAGAAAAGAATACAAAGGTCACATATAATCATGTACCAATACAACCCACATCTTGCAAATAATGAAACATAATTTATAAATAATGATTGAGCTAGTAGAATCATTAGGGCCGTTTAATGATGTTCCACAGGAGGTGACATAATGCAATCCAGTTAGAAAGCACTCTTACCTTTCAGGTTTTTTTTTCTTTAATATATCTTTTTTGACCAAAGAAAAGACATACAACACACAAAAAAAGAGAATGCAAATAGTAAACATTTGAGAGACAGATGGCTTTACCTAAAAACAACTGGTATTTTGCAGAACATAGTGGAGGAAAGTAGGATTAGATACTCAATCCTGGAAGTAAACTTTGGAAACTTTGAGCTGCAAACACTGAGCACTTTCTGAAACTACTAATTAGCAAACTGATCACTGAAAACGACTGTGCTTCTGGTAGGTCTGTATAAAGCAAAAATAACATCCAACCCACAGCTGAGAATGAGATAATGCAAGATGAAATACCAGGCCAGAAGTGAGCGATTTGCCTTTTAACCCCACTAAGTGCAGATTTTAGTAAAGTTTTAACCTTCCTATGTGCTGTATGTGAAAAAGAATAGATATTTCTATCCATGTCATGGGTACACCATCAAACTAATGTATCATGAAAATAACAGTTCTTATTTCAAAGGTCAAGTTCAGTGACTTTCAACCAATGGTTTCCTTGTTTCATAAACGTCCTGAATTATTGATAAATATCTTGGGATAATGGACAATTCTTTTGCCCGCATTCAGTTAGCACCATTTCACAATCTTCTTAAATAAGGCTGATTTCTATCCAGATTTATATGAATTAAATTTCCTGGCATACCCCCTCTACTCTTGCTCCTTGGAGAATCTGGTCTGTGTAGTCCTCCATGATAGGAGCTCCTCCTTATAAATATTTATAACAAATTAATGGGTATCTAAAATATTCTTCTCCAGGATTAAATGACATGAAAATTGTAGCAGTTTTTAATGTCTAACATAAAGCTGACTTCAAGCTCCTGTCTCATCTTCTAGGAGATGGCCTTTATTCAGTCCATTTTTACCTGACCAATGATTCAATTTTCTTTATAAAATAGCAACACACTGCCAACAGGCATTAAATGAGTGTTCTTAGCCACACAGTCCTGGAATTGAACAATGAGAACATATGGACACAAGAAAGGGAACATCGGCCGGGCGCGGTGGCTCACGCCTGTAATCCCAGCACTTTGGGAGGCCGAGGCGGGCGGATCACGAGGTCAGGAGATCGAGACCATCCCGGCTAAAACGGTGAAACCCCGTCTCTACTAAAAATACAAAAAATTAGCCGGGCGTAGTGGCGCGCGCCTGTAGTCCCAGCTACTTGGGAGGCTGAGGCAGGAGAATGGCGTGAACCCGGGAGGCGGAGCTTGCAGTGAGCCGAGATCCCGCCACTGCACTCCAGCCTGGGCGACAGAGCGAGACTCCGTCTCAAAAAAAAAAAAAAAAAAAAAAAAAAAAAAGAAAAAAAAAGAAAAAAGAAAGGGAACATCACACACAGGGGACTGTTGTGGGGTGGGGGGGAGGGGGGATGGATAGCATTAGGAGATATACCTAATGCTAAATGACGAGTTAATGGGTGCAGCATCCCAACATAGCACATGTATACATATGTAACAAACCTGCACGTTGTGCACATGTACCCTAAAACTTAAAGTATAATAATAATAAAATTAAAAAAATTAAAAATTTTAAAAAAATAAAAATCATCACCAATATATATTTTATGTTTCTAAAAACACTTATTTATAGTATTGTTTTGTCTTCAGGGGAATCCATAATTTGGAACTCTTTTTGATTATTTGTATGTATTTTGTATGCTGGGGAGGGATGGGAAATAAACTCAAAACAATTGTTTGCAGATTATAGCTAGTAAGTCTTTTCTGTTTCTTTGGACAGGAAGAATTACCTGTCACCTTCCTAAAGACTGTGTGCACTTCTGCCATTTCTTTTGCTTAAAAATTTTCTTCATCTATTATATTACATCAGATCTGAGATGAATTTATAGGAATGGGACAAATTTGGATATATGTAGAAATATTTAGACTGTGAAATAGGGTTCATATTCTGAACTAGTAAAATAAATTCCATTAAAATGCCTTAAAATATTTTAATCTCATTTAAATAAAACAGAATACAAAGAGAAAAAAATGTAACCTTCATTACCAGAAACCCTCAAAAACCACTGTCAGGTTATTTATTTGTAGCTTTTCTGGGGTGATTATGATGAGCTAGAAGCCATCTTGCCTTTCCTAAATGCCTCGTAACATTAATCTCTGTTTAAGAAACAATAAAATTTTTTTTGAAAAATATACAATTTGGCTAAATTACAGATTTGGATATATTTTTAGTGTCATTAATTTTGTTTAAAAATGAGCAACCTAGCTAAATACATGGTATATTTTGTTGGTAGACTTCACATTCACTAACTCTAAAAATCATAAACATGAGTGAAATTTCTGTCCAAAAAAGAAAGAAATATTTGATTTGAAATGCTAAGTTTTTTCCAATATATTGCAATGCATTTTGTTTTATTTTCTAATATCAGTACATTTGTATATTCAATCAATTATACAATCAACAGAGAACCCACAAAGTAATAAGACCTATGCAAAAAATAAAAATATGCATTTTCTTTGCCTTCAAAATGCTTACAATTTGGTGGAGGAAATAAACATTAAGAAAATACAATTATTACTAGGGATCAAATAATAAGTTTTCAGTGATTTTGATAGGAACATGAAATATTTGAAATCAAATGTATAGGTACTTCTTTAAGACATAGTATCATTTAAATATTTATTATAAACCATGTTTGGACTTTTGGTGATTACACTGGTTAGGCCATTTATCCATGTTAATAGAATAATTTTATAAAACATTCGAGAAAACCTACCAATTCCACTCTGCTGGGACTTGAATACAAGAGACCCAATACGATCAAACCCTATTGAGTAGCACTGTTACTTTATCAGATCTGACTTTGTTTAATTCCCAAGGAAGCTGTGGGGTAGTTTGTTAATGGATACACTTTGTAAATAGAATTTTCAAAAGAATGTTCACAGTTGGGCCTCCTGTTGTTTTCTGTTGGTTTGAAAGGGGGCATTCACAGCTGCAGAAAGCAGTTCACAATTATCAAATTGGCTTTTTCTACAATGTAAGATAATACTAACACATGCAATTTCTGGCATTTTCACAAAAACAGCAAGCCAATCATTTGCATTTTCACATTAGGTGTGGACATTTCCTCTCTGGGTCTAATTGACCTTATCCAAGTTATAGAGAAGAAAATTTGGAGAGCTAGAGGAAACCCATTTTCAAAATCAAGCCACTGAATCCGAACCAGATTAAGGGCATCTAAATTAAACTGCCTGATGGTGAGTTTGTTCCTCCCTGCACACTGGTTTCCACTTTTCAAATATCCCTCTAACAGAAGTTTCAAAGGAACTGGAATCTTGCCAAATCCAGATATACTAAAGCAGATACACTTGACTAAATATGAACAAGTAATAGGGGATTTCGTATGGTCTTACAGTGAAATTACCTCCCAATAAACCCACGTAAGACCATTATGATTAACAGTATGACAGTGAATATTAAATGACTAGAGTAGTTGAGCGTTTATTTCCAAATAAATCTAAGTATTCAAATGTTATTATATTGACAGATTAAAAAAATTGCATAAGGAAAAACAGTACAAATAACTGATCTCAGAGTTTATTTTATCACAATGACATAATATCAAGGTTCAAAATGAGTCTTAATCACAATATACAAACCACCACTCATGAACAAATATGAAACCTGATCAAAATCTATTAGGTGACAACACAGGAAAGTAGATGTTAATGTTTTAATTACAATTAATAAAGTGTGTCAAATGGATATTCTTATAGCTTATGAAGATTGGTTCCTTGTAGAGAAAAGATGGCTCTTATGGTTTCATAAGACCACTTCTATTGGGCACACATCATTAATTTGATTTTATCTCTTCTGTAAGATATTCATTAAGCTACAACTAAATATATTTATTAAGCTTCAAGTAAAATATGCATTTTAGCAATTTTTAAAATGGAAAGTAGAAAAGGAAAAGCTGGCATTTATCTTGTAAAATATTAGTACCTTAAGCTACAGCCTGTTTTTAAATATTAATTAATTTTATTCTAAAACCCAATAATGATTTTACAACACCATTGTTATGATACAATAGGTCTTTGTCCTTTACAGGTTTAATATTTACTGTTTCGATGACATGCTACTTATGAAGATTGTCGGTGACATAGAGTATTGTTTTCAAGTGCAAATCTGAATCAGATGCGCTATAAAGCTGACTGAAGAAGCCACTTAACAAGGATGTGTACTCACTCCCACACATTTACATCTAGCATCCTACACACAATCATTTTAGTGTAGTGATAAAAAGAATCTTATTAGATTAAAACGGCATCAAGTTAACTCGTGCTTGATATATATACAAAACACACGATGATGATCTCAAATATCACTTAAAAGAAACCACACACTTATCCGAATATATCTAGCTTGATGAATTTGAGGGTTAGATAGAAGCTCCAGAATATATATGAACATATTTGTAGTCTACTATATATTCTAAAAAGAATAGAATAGAATAGACTCTTGACATCTGTTAATAATATTACCTGTGATCTTTGCAAATAGCTAAATTTATTCACGTCACTACAGCATATAATTTCCAGCATCACAAACATCCCTCTCCCCTGTAAATTGCATATGTGAAAAATAGCGGAAAACAATAAAGACTGGTTGAGATGCAGACATTAAAAGATTTAGCTAGGTTTACAAACTAGTTAAGATTGGGCTAGATCCACTATATAAGTCAGACCACTTTAACACTAAAATTCCAATTAGAAATTATTGAACTTGTTTTGCAATAGACCACACACAGTAAATACTATAAATTCTAAGTCCATGAAAGCCAAGAAACTATTTTAGTAAAAGGCAATACTCTCCATGAACTGTTTAAATCCTGGGACAGGTTCTGATTCAACTTAAGATGTATAAATCCACAAGAAAATATCACTTCTTTCCTCACAAGAAAAGGCCAGGAAAAAAAAAAAAAACTACAAAATCACAACATTTCAAACCTATCAGAGAACTGAGGTGAAGGGTAAAGTAAATTCCAAGGGATGAAAAAGCTTCTAAGGAAAGAAGAGACACATGAACTGTTTTACCTTCACAGAGCACAAGAGTAAGAAGTGACCAGCATAAAAATAAAGGAAAACAGCTAAAACATGAATGCATTCTCAAACACCAAGAACGGGCTCAGGTGAAAATTTAGAATTACCTGGGAGCCTCAGGCACTGGCGACTCTGCAATCACTCTCTAGTTTTTTACTATGAGCCTCCATCTTGTACTCCTGAGAAAGATTGGGGTCAGAAAAGGATATCTGAGAGAGTTCCACCTTTGTGGGGGCACAGGCATGAATCTCTTTCCACCTCTTAGACTTTTTCTCATATGAAGCAAAGCTATAAACCACTGGGTGAAGGGCAGGAAACTCTAGCCTCTCCTCCCAGGCAGGGGTAAATAGTAGAAATCAAAATTGTGTGACCTTTGGGAAGGGGCACAAAACTGGACCTTTTCCTACCACAAGCATTGTCTCAAAGAACAAGCAACAGCAATCTCCTACACAACAAGTTTAGGAAACCCTCTTTCACTAGTCCCAGGCAAAGGTACAAGGTTACTGATGGAGATACAGAAGCAAACTTGGCTCTGTAAGAGAGGTCTACTTCTGTTGGTGAGGGGCAGTAAAGTCTCTCCAAATCAAGAGTCTCACAGATACAAGACAGAGTTTGACTGTCATGAGGAAAAACAGAAATGCTAATAAAGATCCTTCATCATGTTGTATATAGAGAGGATCTGACTAAGACTGAAGCTGGAACACAAAAACTTAAGAGACAATTCTTGCACTTACTGCATGCCTCAAACAAGCAAAGTAACACCGTTGGAAGAGAGATAACAACATGGAAAAATGCTTTCTATGGTGCAGGTGTGTAGGGACTACTGAAATCTGAGTATAGAGCAGGAACATAAAGAAAATTTCACTGGCAAACTAGCCCCATATTAAGCAAAAGGTGTTAGTAGCCCACTGTTAGGAAATTTGAAACCTGTGATGCACTAAAGATAACTACAGCCACGATAACACCAAACCAAGCTTAACTACTATCTGGTTTGACTCAGCTTTGCACAGTAATAGCCTGACAGAAGAAGGGGCATGCACCTTTATAAGCACAGGTACTATTTACCTTAGTCTCTACTGTTCTTTCACACATAATTCTAGAATTCAACAAAAAAAAAATATGACACACTCACAGCCGGGGAATAAAATAAGTCTTTGTCAAGAGTCAAAATAGACAACAGAACCAGACACAGTGCTGACATACTGAAAAATCAAAGCCTTAAAATTAATTATAATATATGAAAGGATCAAGTGAAAAAAACAGGACAACATGGATGAATAATCATCATGCAATTTCAACAGAGATATGGAAACTATAAAAAGTGCTCAAATGGAAAGGTTAGAATTAAAAAGTATGATATCAGTAATGAAGACTTCTTTAACAGCAGACAGGGTACAACAGTAGACAGAATCAGCAAACCTAAAAGTAGGTCAATAGAAATTATTCTAATTGTAACCCCAAAACAGAGAAAAACATGAGTGGAAAACAAACAAACAAAAACAAAACAAAACAGAAGGTATTATCAAATAATCTTAACCCTGGGCATAAATTGCAGTTTTACTTAAGTATCACTTCTTCCCTTCCGACATGGTGGCAAAATTATGAGACATATGAATACTTGGCTAAAGATTAAATTACCAGCCTACTTTGCATGTAGGAGTAACCATGCAGCCAAATTAGGGTCATCAGATTTCAGGAGATATTGTATGTGTGATTTTTTAGGTCATACTCTTAAAACGAAGAGGAAAGCCCTTCTTTTCCTTTCTATACCCTTCTCAAAAGGCTTAGATGGGGGTATTTCCTTGAGGATGGTAAATAAACAATTTTATAAAAACCTGGGTCCCTGGCACCATAAACTTATCAGGTCAGCTCTGGACTACTTATACTCAGCCTATAATCTGAGATACATATTTCAAGATATTTTTATTTGGGGTATTAATGTAGTAGTAAAACATATATTCTACTGAAAATAAACCCCCAGCTAGAGAAAGCTTAAAGTTAAATTTGGAATTACTTTATCATTTCTGGCTGTAAAACTAACACAGTGTCACCTCACACAGATAATCATCAGAAAATACCAAGAGAATGACAAATTAAGGGGAAAGTCCTTCTTTTCATTTCTTTACTCAACAAACATAGATGTGACTAGCCCAAAATAAGTCTTAATTGTGAGAAAAATATTTAATTAAAGTTTGGACAAATTCAGGCTAACTAGATAGTATAAAATATGTAACACCAAAATTTTAGCTTTCTAAGCATCATACAGAGAAAGATTAGAAACTAATTAAGTAACACAAATATGTTGCTCCTTCACTCTATTAAAGTTAGAGGAAACATCAATTTTCAGAATTGTACACATTTTAAAACCAAAAGTTGAATACTATGATAAACAGCATGTGTAAGTACAGAATAAGAATGTATCTGTAAAACACTAGACACAAACAGTTGTAGATACAAATAACGTACACAAATGTGTAGTTTGGCAATAGACAAATTCCATGAAAAATTTGGTTCTCTGAAGTAATGAATAACTCTAAAATAATTTTAGTTTGTACAAAAAACCTAAAATTATATAAGGCTACAGTAAAATATATATGCTATCTAATGATCTAAATATTGTCCTTTGGAATATTCTTAAGCTTATTCTCAATTCGAATTTAAACTATTATATCAAACTACTAATAAGACTAATAACCTCATTTCTGATTTTAATCTCATTTTCTTCATATAACTATCCACTCACTCATTAAAAACACAATTATTGACTTTTATGATCTGCAAAGCTCTACATTGTGCAAGACAAAACATACTGTATTTCAAAATTTTCCCACACAAGTTATTGATTGATTTAAATATGAGTATATTACATAGTAAAGTAGCTATAAAACAGAAATAAAAATTGTTTTGTAACTGGAAAACAAACCAGCAACATTTCTTCTCTAATTAGATTCCATGAGCAGAGGTATCATCAATAAGAATTGAGAAAGATGTTAGAATGAGAAGGTTCAAGCCGTAAAGCCTTGGAATACAAAAATAGTGCTTTTGTAAGAAAATCAAATACATTATAGGACATAGGAAGAGCACTTATTAGGATGTCAGGAAACCCAGGATTTTTTTCTTGCTCTTCCACTACTTATTTATAATCTTAGAGAAATTACTGTGCCTTAGTTTTCTCATTTGTGAGAGGAAGGTAAATTCTAAAAACCTACATTTTCTTCTACTTCTTTGATAACATGTTATGTTCTTGTGTACAGATGCATTACATACGTGTGGTTAGCCATTTGCTCTAGTCCACTTACCCTGGGTAAATGGGTAAATGGGCTCCCCAGTATTTTTGTATTTTTACCAGGTAACTTGTGACATTGAAGAGCTTATGAGCAAGCAACTTTCATTCCTCTAACATACTAAATGTTTGAATGGCAGTGAGTTACCATCAGTTAACTGCTCTTTGAGTTTTTATGCCATTGGGAATGTTGAACAGAACACCTGCTCCTCTGGAACACAGATAATGAGGATCCAAGAGGCAGCTGGAAGGTTAAGAGCAATCTAAAAACACTTCACAGAGTAAACCTAGTGGGACGGAAGTCTTCACTATTGCCATGCCCTACTAAACTGGTCTCACCAGACCCTGAGAGCCCACAAGTTGTTCCTCATACAGATGCTCTAGTAACTTTAAGGAGCTCTAGTTACAAAAAGTCACAACCACAACATGTCCATTGATTGAACGATGAACAACTTAACTTTTCTTGGTGCATTCTCAGAATGTTTATGGCTGTCACTCTAGAGACACTCAAGTTAGTATAATAGAGGAGGCAAACAGCATGAAGTGGAAATAATGGCCCATGCTGTTCTTTTAGACACAAAGGATTTTGTTTCAAGAATCTTAAATCTTTTATATAGAAAGACACACTTTTCAAGGGGAAGGGTGTTAGCATATTTTATTACTCCGCTTTCAAACACAGAGCAACACAGCTACAGAGGGATTTGGCCACTTACCAAAAACAGGCCAGCACCAGAGTTGGGAATAAAGAAAACTCAAATTCTATTATCACAGAGATATTATATTATTCCAAAATAATGTTACACAAACAAATGTAAATCAAACTGTAAAATCCCAGTGTAAAGACACTTACTTTACAGAAACTTAAAACCTAGGGAAGTTTGACCAATTCCTATGTGAAATTCATATTCCCTGGAAATTATAAGAACACATTGTAATTTGAATATTTCAAAAAAGATATTTACTGCTCCCTTTTTTTAACTTATGAATCAATATTCCACTTCATTCCACAAAGGATTTGAGATATCATACACAACTAAGTATCATTCAATAAAAAGGAGTGGGAAGAGAGAAGAGGACAAATAAATTAAACTAAAAGAAAAATTGTGTTCAAATAGTAAAATAAAAGAAAGTAAGTACATGGTAATGCATGTTATAATGCATGGGTAAACATGGTTGAGACAGCACAAAAGAAATAAAGAACAATTACAAAATTACTTCTCCCACAAGATAAATATATAATACCGGCTTAAAAGCAGCACTAGTTTTCTTTACAATGAGGGTTAAACCATGTTTCCACAAGATTAACAGAAGGTCTAGTCATTAACTGATGAAGTGGAAAAAATTCTTAGACAAACTACAATATACAAAACCCAGTGTCCTGTGAGTTTCTTACAGGCCATAACAGCAGAACTCACTGGAAACTGATTACAAACCCTGTGATGGGCACTGTAGGGGCTATCATGGGAGGTGGTAGTGGACCTCTAAATACATAGCTGTAAAGCTCTGTGATGGTTTTTGTTTCACACAAAAACAGACATTTCTATTTATATAGAATAACAGTTTTTATTTTGAGGCCTAAAGATGGGCTTCAGAGAGGCATCAAGGATTTCTAATATTCAATGCACATTTGCTATTTTTCACATTTTTTGAGGGATAATTCACACCTTCCACTATATTTTTCAGGATCCTTGACCCCAAATGGCCAGCTATGTAGAAAAGGAATTTGGTGAACTACTTATCTTGCAGTTCATATTTCACTGGATTACTTTTTGGAACTGAAGTTATAACGTGTTTAAGGCAGCAGATTAGTGACTGGTGTTATGAACATTGGCAGGAGCGTGAAGTACATGTGTTGTGTTGCTAATTATCTGTATAATTATAGACTTTTAAAGCCTTCTTATGCAGCCAACAGACACATGAAAAAATGCTCATCATCACTGGCCATCAGAGAAAGCAAATCAAAACCACAGTGAGATACCATCTCACACCAGTTAGAATGGTGATCATTAAAAAGTCAGGAAACAACAGGTGCTGGAGAGGATGTGGAGAAATAGGAACACTTTTACACTGTTGGTGGGACTGTAAACTAGTTCAACCATTGTGAAAGACAGTGTGGTGATTCCTCAAGGATCTAGAACTAGAAATACCATTTGACCCAGCCATCCCATTACTGGGTATATACCCAAAGGATTATAAATCATACTGGTATAAAGACACATGCACATGAATGTTTATTGTGGCACTATTCACAATAGCAAAGACTTGGAACCAACCCAAATGTCCATCAGTGATAGACTGGATTAAGAAAATGTGGCACATATACACCATGGAATACTATGCAGCCATAAAAAAGGATGAGTTCATGTCCTTTGTAGGGACATGGATGAAGCTGGAAACCATCATTCTCAGCACACTGTCGCAAGGACAAAAAACCAAACACCGCATGTTCTCACTCATAGGTGGGAATTGAACAATGAGAACACATGGACACAGGAAGGGGAACATCACACACCAGGGCCTGTCGTGGGGTGGGGGGAGTGGGAAGGGATAGCATTAGGAGATATACCTAATGTAAATGACGAGTTAATGGGTGCAGCACACCAACATGGCACATGTATACATATGTAACAAACCTGCATGTTGTGCACATGTATGCTAGAACTTAAAGTATAATTAAAAAAAAAAGAAAAGAAACCAAAAACCTTATAAGTAGAAGATTGAAAGTTATGAAAGCCATGAAGACAGTTAAGAAAAGAAGACTAAGAATTAAACCATTGAGATAGACCCAAATTTTTAAATTATTTAACACAGTTAAATGGGAAAAATAATATATCTACTTTATCAATTATTTTGAGAATCAAATAATTATTGTATGTAAAGTTCTTATAATTTACTATATAGTAAATGCTATAAACATGTTGTTATGATTCTAATTATTATTATTATTACCACTACTATTTTAAATTCTGTATCTTGTGGAAAAGCTGAATAACTACAAGGATGTCTGAGATATTTCCCCTTAAACTTGCTTTATTTACCTTGCACCAAAATAACGAAACTTCCACCTTATATAGCATACTTGTTAGATATTTGATCTAGGATATGATTTCTATCAGGAGATTTTTCTGTACATCAAATTACTCCAACCTTATAAGTTTAAAACCACAATCATTTATTTTTGCCACTAAGTCTACAAGTCAGCTAAGTGGTCCTTTCCATCTGAGCCAGGCTGGGCTGATCTGGGCTACACTTGCTCGTGTGTTTGAGGTCATCAGCAAGTTAGCTGAGTCTGGCTGATCTAAGATGGACTTAATCACAGGTCTGCTGATTGGCCAGTTATTGAGTGGGCCAGAGTTAACTGAACCATATGTAGCTCATCATCCAAAAGGGTAGCTTTTTCATATGGTGGCTCAGGAAGTTTCTAAAGGAGAAAACAGAAATATGCAAGTCTTTTTAGTCCTAAACTTGATATTCATACAATGACACTCATACCACATGTAATGGGGCAAACCAAGTTGCAAGTCTGAACCAATTCCAAGAGTAAAGAAACAAACCACAGCTCTTGAAGGCAGAACCTTCAAAGTTATGTTGCAAAAAGAATGGAGATACAGAGAAGAATGGGAATGTCTTACCATTTTTATCATGTACTACATTATTAAGTAAGAAGTTTAAAAACTCCTCACAATGACCTTCCAAAACTTTGAATAAACCACCTGAAAGAAAAATCTAAATTAAATTAGTATGATGACACATTTAATACAAATTAGATGTAAAATTCTTACTCTATGTGAATATATTAAATAAATAGAATTAATCTGCTATTTAAAATTAGTGAAAATGTTTTGCTGAAATATCTGTCATTTTTTAGGGGATGGGGAGTAGTACTAGGTACTAGAGCCAACCATCAGTTCACCTTATGACCACAACATATAAAAGAATATATTACATTGTATTTTGCCATTATAGAGAGTAACTCATATGGCTAAACCTAAAGGGCTATTGAGGGCCAATATTACGTAGACATTAAGAGTGAAGAATGAAATTAGACTGTCTAAATTCAAATCCTGCTACATCTTAACTAGCTCTGTGACCGTCAGCAAGTTACATAATCTTTCTGAATTTGTTTCTTTATGAATAAAGTAGAAATGATAGAAATACTTATATGGATTTTGTGTAAAGTGAATTAAACAACCCAAGTAAACCTCTTGTGCATAGCACAAGTCCCATAGTAAATTACTCAAGAAATATCGGCTATTTTTTACTACAAATATTAAAATACAATGTAAAAATAAAAGGGTCCAAAAGTGCTGTGAAATATTATTTGAAATTTATTATTTAATTTATCATAATAAGATTCCTATTGACCTCAACTCTAAAGTAGTATGCAAATTAATATTCTAAAGGACTTAAGGAACCAGCTTATGATATGCTTAGTCTACAACCAACTCCTAGCAACAAAGACGTAGGACAAGAAATAATAAATACAATTATATGCCACACAGTATGTTAAAAACTATAGTAGTCAAAGCAGATTTTCTGTAAAGAATTTGGAAAAAGGTCATCACTTCCATTTCTACAGGAACAAACTGAAAATCAAGTAACTATTTTCGACCCATCAGAAAACTGAGTTTTCTGGACAAACCACCACCCCAAAATCTGGAGATACAGGCAAATCCAAAAAATCATAATAGAGATGTGTTTACCTGGAGCGGAGGCCACTTGAGCCATAAAATGATAGAAAAGCTTAAGTGGTTACTTTAACGAATTTCTGCAGGCTGATTTGGACTAGTGAGAGAATGACTCCAACATATTAATAGTGGATTACATTTGAAACAGGTGCAAAACACAGCTGTCTTTAAAGAAGAAGACTTAGAGAAACCCAATGTGAATATAGGAAAGAAATAAGAACACTAGAGGCAAATAAAGCCTGTGGCACCTATAGATGCAGCAAACATTAAATAAAGCCAAATTTCTAGCTAGATTAACATAAACCCTCACACAAGAAGCTTATTTATCTCTAATATATCTTTTTTTTTTTTTTTTTTTTGAGATGGAGTTCCACTCTTGTTTCCCAGGCTGGAGTGCAATGGTGCGATCTCGGCTCACTGCAACCTCTGCCTCCCAGGTTCAAGCAATTCTGCCTCAGCCTCCCAAGTTTCTGAGATTACAGGCATGTACCACCATGCCCAGCTAATTTTGTATTTTTAGTAGAGACGGGGTTTCTCCATGTTGGTCAGGCTGGTCTCGAACTCCCAACTGCAGGGGATCCGCCCATCTCTGCCTCCCAAAGTGCTGGGATTACAGGCGTGAGCCACCATGCCTTGCCTATTTCTAGTATATCTTCTAACTGATAAAACATTTCTATTATTCAACAAAAATTTACAAGGTACACCAAAGGCAAGAGAAACATTCTAAAAAGACAAAGCAAGCATTACAACCAGGATAAGATATGACGCAAATATTAAAATTAACACACAGGGAATTCTAAACAACTATAATTTATATGTTAAAATCTATAACTGCAATTGTGCAAAGACAGCTGAAGTAAGTGGAGATGGAAATTATTAAAAAAGAATTTTTAGAATGCTAGAAATCATAAACACTATAAAACAAAGGAAAATATATTTAATGGGTTCATTAGGAAACTAGACAAAGCTGAAGAAAGAATTAGTGAGCTTGAAGATAAATTAATAGCTTTCCAAACTGAAATACAAAGAGATTTTTTTTTTAAATCCAAGCTCTGTAAGAAGGTTTCAAAGGAATAACATATGGTTAATTGGAATTCCAAAAGGAGAAGAAAGAGAAAATGGAACAGAAAAAATACATAAAGTAATATTGATCAACTTTCCAGTATTAATGACAAACACCAAACCACAGATTCAGGGAGCCCAGAGAACAGTAAACTGAATAAATCCCAAAAACTACAAAACTAATCTACACCTAGCATATCACCTTAAAACTCCAGAAAACCAAAGACAAAGAGAATACCTTGAAATAAGCCTGAAGAAGAAAACACCTTACCAATGGGAGGAAAAAGATAAGGAATATAGTGGACGTCTTATTAGAAATCATACAACAAGAACACCCAGGGAAGATTCTTCTGGACAGTAGTCTAGGCAAATAACTCAAAAGCACAGGCAACAATATACACAAAAAACAGACAAATGGGATTTACTTAAACTAAAAAGGTTCTGTGCTGCAAAAGAAATAATCAACAGAGTAAACAGACAATCTACAGAAAGGAAGAAAATATTTACAAGCTACACATCTGACAGAGAACTAAGATCCAAAATTTACAAGGCATCCCAACCATTCAACAAATAACATATAAATAATTACATTAAAAAGTTGGCAAAGGACATAAATAAACATTTTTCTAAAGAAGATATACAAGTGGCCAACAAGTAAATGAAAAATTCTCACCATCACTAATAATCAGAGAAATCCAAATGAAAACCACAATGAGATATCACCTTATCCTAATTAAAATGGTTATTATTTTTAAAACAGTGAGGATGTGTAGAAAAGGGAATGCTCATACACTGTCGGTGGGAATCTAAATTAGTACAACCTCTACAGAAAGCAGTATGGACATTTCTCAAATAACGAAAAATACAACTATCATTTGACCTAGCAATCCCACTGCTGAGTATCTACCCAAAGGAAAAGAAATTATTATATCAAAAAGATACCTGGACTCATATGTTTATCATAGCACGTTCAAGTTAAGTGTCTAACCATGAATGATTGAATAAAGAATATGTGGTTACCTCTTAAATTTATACCAAAAAAGAAAATGTGGTATATACACACAAATGTGGTATATATACACAACAGAATACGATTTTACCATAAAAAAAAGAATGAAACCTTGTCTTTTACAGCAACAGAGGTGAAACTAGAGGCAACAAGAAACATGTGTCTTAATGAAACAACTCAGACACAGAAAGACAAATCCTGCACGTTCTCACTTTTAAGTGGGATCTAAAGAATGTATACACATAGATGTAGAGTGTGGAATGATAGATAATGGAGACTTGGAAGGATAGGGGTGTGGGAGTGAAGTAGATAATGAGAAATTACTTCATGGGTACAATGTATATTATTCCAGTGATAGATACAGTCAAAGCCCTTACTTCACCACCAAGCAATATAGCTATATAACAAAATTACACTTGTACCCCAAAATTTATATAAATAAAATAAAGAAAAAAGAAATTGTAAAATGACAGACTATAGAGAAATATTTAAAATGTTAAAAGAAGAAATGCAAATCTAATATCCTACATCCAGTGAAATTACCCTTCTAAAGTGAAGATGAAATGGAGACTTCTTCATGCGAACAAAAACTGAGGGTATTTATCACCAGCGGAAATAAATGTTAAAGTATCTTTTTTTAGGCAGAAGGAAAATGATATAGGTCAGTAACTCATGACTACACAAAAAGGAAAGAGTGTCAGAAAATAAATAAAGATAAAATAAAATATTTTATTTGTCTTGTTAATTGACCAAGAAAGATAACATTGTTTAAACTGATAACAGTAGCAATGCATTGAGTGATTATAGTATGTGTGTAAGTGAAAGGAATAACAGCAATGTCATAAGGAATGGGAGGGAGGAATTACAACGTACCTGCAGTACACAATGAGTAGAACAGTATGATTTGAAGGTGGACTTAATAAAAATTTGTATTCAAAACTCTAAGAAAACAACTAAAGCATTTATTTAAAACTGATATAATAAGAAACGAGATAAAATGGAGTTGTGTAAAATGGTCAACTAAACCCCAGAAAATAGAAAAGAAGTATTAGCAACAAATAGAAAACAGATATAAACATGGTATATATTAATCCTAATATCTCAATATTCTATTTAAATGTGAATGGCCTAAATACACACTTAAAAGATAGCATTTGTCAGAGTGGATAAAACATGAAAAGACTCAGTGTTGGCTGCAAGAAACCCACCTTAAACACAAAGGCTCCAGTGAATTCAAAGTAAAAGGATGGAGAAAGATATACCATGCTAACATTAATCAAAAGAAATCAGGAACAGCTATATTAACTTTAAACAGACTTCAATACAAGAAAAATTATCAGGCATAAAACAGCATAATGATAAATTGTTCAATTTTCTAAGATGACATATGATCCTAAACATATATGTACCTGAAAACAGAGTATCAACATAGGTGCAGTAAAAACTGATAGAACAGAAAAGAGAAATGTGCAAATATGCTATTATAGCTGGAGAATTCAACACCCCTCTGTCAGTAATTGACAGATCAAGCAGACAAAAAATCAATAAGGATATAGGTCATCAAAAAAGGACTATCAATCAACTTGGTCTAATTGATATTTGTAGCATGTTTCATCCATCAACAGCAGATTATACATTCTTTTCAAACTTGCATTGAACTTTCGCCATGATATTCCACATTCTGACCACAAATCATATGTTAAGAACTAAAAAGAATATATAATGCCACTCATGGTGGCTTATGACTGTAATCCCAGCTACTTGAGAAGCTGAGGTGGGAGGATCACTTAGGCCGAGGAGTTCAAAGCCAGTATGTGCAACATGGCAAAACCCCATCACTAAAATAAATAAAATCAAAAGAATATAAATCATATAAAGTATGTACTGAGGCCACATGAAATTTAACTAGAAACAAATTAAATTAAAAATGAACAGGACAATAACTAGAAAAATACTCAAATATTTAGAAATAAAACAATTACATTTCTGAATGGACCAAAAAAGTCTCAACAAGTAAAAATGTATTTTGAAATAAATGAAAATGAAAACATAACTCTTTATAATTTGTGAGATGGTTCCCTTTTAAGTAATGCTTAAAGGAACATTTATATCAATAAATGTGTACATTAGAAAAGAAGAAATATACAAAATCAGTAACCTAACCGTTTACTTTAGGTTATTAGATCAAGAAAAGCAAGTTCCTTATAATTATAAGGAACTACTCAATGAGTAGAACAGTGTGATTTGAAGGTGGACTTAATACAAATTTGTATTCAAAATTCTAAGAAACAAAATTCTACTTCCTTTAAGCCTAAAGGAAGTAGATTTTTAAAAAAATCAAAATTGGAGCAAAAGTCATCAAAACTGGATACAAGAAAACATTAAAGAAAATCAACAAGCCCAAAAGCTGGTATTTTGGAATGATCAATAAAATTGAGAACTATCTAGCCAGGCTAACCAAGAAGAAACAGAATGAACACAAATTATCAATATAGAATGAAAGAGAGTCCAAAGATGATTAACCATACCCTGGTTACCAATCCCAGGGGAAGGCTCTAAACTTCCATCCACTGCACGTTGGACTATGCCAACTTCTATCACTTTCAGTAGTCTAGTGAGACAGAACACTCACACATATCCAGTTACATGAAAACCAGCTTATTACTTACAGATAGGCAGCAAGGGACAACAGAAGCGTAAGATTCACAGAGTGCTGGCTCCCCAAGTTCAGGAAAAATGCCCAGGGTGAATAAAGTATTTTCTGCATATACCCATTTGCACTGCAGCCGAGAGACCTCAAAAATCAGCCTATCCTGGGTTTTATGTCCTGGGCTTATGTGAGTTCCTGAGCAAAAGCATTGTAAGACCTGCCATTCTAGAAGGGATGGGAACAGAGCCCAGGCTGTTCCAGCTAGTTCCTCTTTGTCTCAGAATGTTTCATTCCCAGTACATTCTTCGGTTAATTTTGAGAACTACAAGTGAGAAAATGGGGATATCTAGGTCAATCTAAGGCCACCCAGAGAACTGTCTTGCAGAGAGGTGATCACTACTGATCCCATGGACATTAAAAGAATAATGAAGGTATATTATAAGCAACGCTATATCTATAATTTTAATAAATTAATGAAATGGACCAATTTTTTGAAAGACACAAAATACTGAAATTTACACGAGGAGAAATAGATAACATGAATAACTCTGTATCCATTAAAGAAATCAAATCAATAATTAATAACTTCCAAAAAAGAAACCATCAGACTCAGTTTCATCAGTGATTCTACCAAATTTTGAAAATGAAATTTAAAAAGACAAAAACAAATGAACTATTCAATTACAAAAAGATATGAGTGAACCTTAAAAGCATATTTCTAAGTGAAAAAAATCTAGTATGAAAATGGCTACATATTATATGATTTCAATTACAAGGTGTTCTGGAAAAAGCAAAACTGCAGGGCTGGTAAAAAGACCAGTGGTTGACGGGATACTTAGGAAAGCATAGGAAGGGTTAAGTAGTGGGTGGAACAGAGGTGATTTTTTTACTGTGGTGAAACTATTTGGTATAATACTATAATTGTGGATATATGACACTATGAATTCTCAAAATCCATTGGATATACAGCATAAAGAATGAATCCTAAAGTATGCAATTACAAAAATATATTACAGAGGTCAGAGGAATCCCAGGACAGAATACAGATGTGATAAAACAATCTGAATGTATTACAAACATATTATAGACCATAATTGAAAGGGAGGGGGAAAAGACACTGACTTATGTAGCTTTGAAAATAAGTGGAGTTCGTAAAATTAAAGACAAAAGCATATGTGTGCATTATACTCTAGTTGATAACGCTGCTTCTCTTTTTTTTTTTTTTTTTGAGACGGACTCTCGCTCTGTCACCCAGGCTGGAGTGCAGTAGCGTGATCTCAGCTCACTGCAACCTCCGCCTCCCGGGTTAATGCTATTCTCCTGCCTCAGCCTCCCAAGTAGCTGGCACTACAGGCGCCCACCACCACACCCGGCTAATTTTTTTGTATTTGTAGTAGAGACGGGGTTTCACCATGTTAGCCAGGATGGTCTCGATCTCCTGACCTCGTGATGTGCCCACCTCGGCCTCCCAAAGTGCTGGGATTACACGCATGAGCCACCGCGCCCAGCCAACGTTGCTTCTTTTTATGCTACAGGTTAACAAGTCTGATGACGTTATACACATATAATGGAACTGAAGATTTAAGTAAATGTTTGTCGAATGGGAGGAGTCAGGTTTTTCACTATTGGAGTGGGAGTTATAAATATTTCGATATGTAACCATCCATATCTATATTAAGATAAGCAAGTAGAAGAGACTAGAATGACCCATGTAATGCAATAGGGTTGGAGACATCAGTGTTAACCCATGTTTAGCCTAATATAGATATAGATGGTTACATATATAAACATTTATAGATATATGTAGTTATATGGGTTAGTATATACACATACATTTCCTTCCTTTCAGCTTAGAGAGCCTAGAAGCAATGAGATCCAGGAGCAATGAGCACATCTTGCAATCAGATCATGGTTTCTAATACTATTCTCCACTTTTCAAACAAAAAGATATCCTTGTAGTAATGGATAATTCCAGGACCGAGTATATCACACTCTCCCAGAGCAATAAGCATACAAGATGAGCTTGAACCATTTTGTGGCACTAAAAAATAAGAACTTGCTCAAAACAAAAATGAAGGTGGAGGAGGAGGAGGAGGAGGAGGAGGAGGAGGAGGAGAAGAAGAAGAAGAAGAAGAGGCGGAGGAGGAGGAGGAGGAAGGAGGTGAAGAAAGCACACACAGAAAATTGGCAGGGTGGATAGATTAATGTACACAGAAGCCAACTGAAAGGGCCTCTGATGGCCAAAGCTGTGGTAATTTGAGTAACAAAATAAATAAATTAGTACTGATGAAAATTCAAAGTATAAAAGAAATATCAGTGAGCACATATCGACATAAATAAATTATCAAATTATTAAAGAAACTGGGGAAAAGAGAAAAATCTGTGCTGAATTCCTAGCAGATTATCTAAGGACACCCCCTTAAATGAATTATAACTCTCAGCTTTTTAAATGTGAGCTGTGCGCAGTGACTTCCTTCCAAAAAATACAGTTTGGAAAGGGATTAAAAGGTGTAACTTTGCAGTGGAGAAACATGAAAAACACTACTTCAGCAGGTGATAAAGTTCAGCATCAAGAGCCATAAATTGTGCTGAGAGCATATAGCTTTGATATAATGGATGAAAATGGCAGTTTACATCTGCAATCTTCCTCCCCAATTTTCATAACTCCAATCTAGTCATGAAAAAACTATCAGATAAATTCCAGTAGAGTGTATTAGGCCATTCTTGTGTTGCTATAAAAGAAATACCTGAGGCTAAGTAATTTCTAAGGAAAAGAAGTTTAATTGACTCATGGCTCTGCAGGCTGTACAGTAAGCATGACACCAGCATCTGCTCAGCTTCTGTGGAGACCTCCAGGAGCTTTCACTCATGGCAAAGTGTGAAGCTAAAGCAGACATGTCACATGGTGAAAGGAAGCAAAAGAGGAGCAGGGAGACACCACATATAAACAACCAAATCTCTCTCAAGAACTCACTCATTACCATGAGGAAAGCACCAAGACATGAGGGATCCACCTCCAGGACCCAAACAGCTCCCACCAGGCCCCACCTCCAACACTGAGGATTACATTTAAATATGAGATTTGGGTGGGGACAAATATCCAAACTATATCAAAGAGGCATCTTAAAATAGACCTCATCAGCAATCCCCTAAACTGTCAAGGTCATCAAAAACAAGGTTAAGTCTGAGAAATTGTTAAAAAGAGGCTAAGGAGATATGACAATGAAAAGTAATGTAATATCCTGGAGGGAAACCTACAGAAGAAAATGGAGAATAAGTAAAAATTAAGAAAATCTGAACAAATTATTTTATTTAATTAATAATAAGTACTCTCATTTTACTTTAAAAACAATAGAATTACTCCAGATGCTATATTAAGAATACACTGAAAGAGCCCAGGACAGATGTAAGAAGGCCTTTTACAAAAATGAAGAAATTTTAGTGACTCGACCATTGAAAGTAGCCAAAGGTGGGCAGAGCACGGTGGCTCACGTCTGTAATCCCAGCTCTTTGGGAGGCCGAGGGGGATGGATCATGAGGTCAGGGGTTCGAGACCAGCCTGACCAACGTGATTAAACCCCGTCTCTACTAAAAATACAAAAATTAGCTGGGCGTGGTGGCGGGCGCCTGTAATCCCAGCTACTCAGGAGGCTGAGGCAGGAGAACTGCTTGAACCCGGGAAGAGGAGGTTGCAGTGAGCCGAGATCACGCCACCGCACTCTAGCCTGGGCGACAGAGCGAGACTCTGTCTCAAAAAAAAATAAATAACTAAAACAGTAGCCAAAGGTGGTCAGATTTGGAGTATATTTTCAAGATAGTGTTAACAAGATGTATTAGTCCATTCTCACATTGCTATAAAGAAGTACCTGAGACTGGGTAATTTATAAAGAAAAGAGTTTCAATTGGCTCAGGTTTCAGTAGGCTGTACAGGAAACATAGCAGCTGCTGCGTCTGGAGAGGCCTCAGGGATTTCCAATCATGGCAGAAGACAAGGGGCGAGGAAGAGGTCACGAGGCAGGAGCCAGGAGCAAGAGACATAGTTGGGAGTTGCTACATACTTTTAACCCCTTTCCCATCAGCACTGAGTATACTCACCAGTGGCCCTTGTGGTTGCAATGTTTGCCCCAAGATAACTTTGCCACAAAATATCTCACTTTGATTGTTATTTTCACATCGCTCTAGCATATTGACTTTGGAAACAAAAGGCATCATTCTATTTATAGCATTCTGTTTTTAGTAGTGGTATTTCCATTTACAAAATATAGTAATCATTGATCACTGAAAATGTCAAATCCTAGAAAACAGCACTCCTACGTGTGATGTTGACATCATTCTCAAACAGCTGTTGGCCAAAGATTAATTTAATGAACCTGATTTTTCCAAAATAGATGATTCTGACGTTACTTCTGTTTAGAAATAGCTCCAAGAACATTTTTTTTTTTGGGGGGGACGGAGTCTTGCTCCGTAGCCCAGGCTGGAGTACATTGGCACGATCTTGGCTCACTGCAAGCTCCGTCTCCCAGGTTCATGCCATTCTCCTGCCTCAGCCTCCCTAGTAGCTGGGACTACAGGTGCCCGCCACCACGCCTAGCTAATTTTTTTATATTTTTAGTAGAGATGGGGTTTCACCGTGTTAGCCAGGTTGGTCTCGATCTCCTGACTTCGTGATCCGCCCCCCTCGGCCTCCCAAAGTGCTGGGATTACAGGCTTGAGCCACCATGCCCAGCCAAGAACAGTTTTTATATTTTATTTTCACATTAAAAATCAGTCAGGTTTGCTTCAGCTTCAAAGAGCATGTTTAGTGAAATTAAAAGAGCACTGCCAGTGATTTGCAGTTTTATTTTTGTTAAACAGGAAAAGGGTTAAATGACCAGATCTCATGAGAACTGATTGTCATGAGGACAGCATCAAGGGGACGGTGCTAAACCATTCATGAGAAATCCACCTTCATGATCTAATTTCCTCCCACCAGGCCCTACCTCCAACACTGGGGATTACAATTCAACATGAAATTTGGGTGGAGACACATACCCAAACTATATCACAATATTAGCAAATGAAAAGATTGACTTGCCATTTACTAAGCTGGAGAACACTGTGAGTTCACCATGAAATATTAATTCAGCCATAAACAGGAATGGATTACTGATACAACATGGCAGAAGCTTGGAGACATTTTGCTAAACGAAAGAAGCCAGACACAAAGGGCCACATACTATAGGATCATATTTATATAAAATTTCTAGAATAGGCAAATCCATAGAAATAAGCAGATTGGTAGTTACCAGTGGCAGAGGAAGGACAAAAGTGGGGAATGACTGCTAATGAGTATAGGGTTTCTTTTGAAGTTGATTTAAAAATTCCAAAATTAGATAGTAGTAATAGAAAGCTGGTGGCATTAAAAGTTTAGTTTTGGATATATGTTTGATATGTAGATTATAAATAAGGGAGTTGAGAATGTAAGTGAAGATACTAGAAGGCAGGTAAATATCTGATTCTTGAATTTAGGGACTGGCCTGAGCTGAAGATGTAAATGTAAGAGTGGTCAGTATTTTCAAAATCTTGACACAGAAAGAAGTCATCAAGAATCAAGAGAGTAAATGGAAATAGAAAAGGAAAGCGGTCCAATGACTAAGGCCTTGTATACTCCCATGTTAAAAGGTCAGGGAGAGGAAGTGTAGATAGTAAAGAAGAATAAGAAAAAAAGTATAACTACTATAACAGCTAGAAATCAAATGGGGACAGAATTATCAACCATGTCAAATACTACAGAAAGTTTAATAAGATGAAGTCAGAATTCACGCTTGGTTATAGGAATTTTGTTAGAGGGTACTGGTGAAATTGATTGAAATAGTTTGATTGAAGATGTGTGATATAGTTTGAATATATGCCCTTGGCAAATTTCGTGTTGAATTGTAATTCCCAGTGTTGGAGGTGGGGGCTGGCAGGAGGTGTTTGGGTCATGGAGGAGGATCTTTCCTGGCTTGTGCTGTCCACATGATAGTGAGTGAGTTCTTATGAGATCTGGATTTTTTAAAGTGTGTGGCACCTCCCCCATCTCACATGCTCCTACATGTGAGATGCCTGGTCCCCTTTCTCTTTCTGCCATAATTGGAAGCTTCCTGAGGCCTCCCAAGAAGCCAGGATGATGCTGGTGCTGTGCTTTCTGTACAGCCTGCATAACTGTGAGCCAATAAAACCTCTTCTTTAAATAAATTACCTGGCCTCAGGCATTTTTTATGGCACTGCAAGAATGGCCTAACACAATGTGAGAGAAGAATCCTGATTATAGTGATTGAAGAAACAATGCTAGAGGAGGAATTAGTGAAGAGGATACTAGGAAACTCTTTCAAGGAATTGGCGTTTTAAAGGAAAGAGAAAAATGGGGGAAAGAGAAAAAAATCCAAAGGAAATTTATGTTCTCATTTGTTGATGTTACCACTGTACACAGGGAAACAAAAGAACTCTTATAGAGAGATGAGAAACATCGAATTGAAAAGAGTATAGTTGCAAAAGGGAAAAAACAAATTGCTAGAATATGCTCTTGAGTCGACTTGAGGGGATGGGATCTCATGCACACATAAAGAGCAACTTAGAGAAGTACACTAAGAGTTCATCCGCTGTAACAAGAGGGAAGGGAGAGTCTGTGGGCATAGATGGGTAAATGTGGTGAGGGGGCAAAAGTTATCTTTTAAGTTTCTCTAGTTTTCTCATGATATAAAGAACATGCTCATCAGCTGAGCGATGGTAGAATGATTTTAGAAGTCTATGAAAGAGAAGAAAGTAACAAATTATCTTGAAGAGTGGGAGATTAATTGACATGGGAAATATGAGTGCCAGACCTCATACTGATCATGAATCTAAGATTAGACAATCAGTATGTATCTGTGTTTGTTTTGTTTTTCAGCCATGTTCAGTTACAAGAATGTATGCCTGCCATAGGAGAAAATTTGATTTTAACCGAGGTTGTGTTTTAGTCAAGAGAAGAGCTTGAAGCAAGGGAAGTGGGAATATAATCAAAGAAGTAAATGTAGTACTAAATTATGAAATTTATGATTAATAATAGGAAAGAGAGAAAGTAATGTCTAAAGTCATAAGATCAGTGAATTTTGCATTTACTTGGTCAGAGGTTTATTGGATTTGGGCTAGGAGAGGGAAGGAACTGGAAAGACAGAACAGGGTGGTCAGAAGAACGGGATGCTTCACTGTGAGATTTTAGAGGGGATATAGTTATTTTTAATGACAAGGTCTAGAACATGGCATGAAAGTGAGCAGCTGATGACAGGATTGCAGAAGCAGAGAAGTTTAAGGAACAAGAGGCTAGGGGATTGGAATAAGAATCTACATTGATTTTGAAATCTCCAAAAATAAAGATCTAGCCTGTGTTAGAGTTGTGCTAAGTCATGAACCAAAATCATTAAGAAACGAAGACAAGTGACTAAAATGGGAAAGGAGGCAGGTCAGGATAAGTAGATGACTTATGACAAGGCAGGATAGTAATAACGTTTCATGACAAGAGCATCATGCAGCTGGCTTTTAGAGATAAGACAGGGAGAATTACTGGAAGTTGGAAAGAGGAACAAGAAAAAGACCTTCCCATCTCCAAGCCCAAAGGTCCAAGAGATGCAGCAAAGAACATACACCACTTAGAAGTGATGCAAAGAAGCCAGGCGTGGTGGCTCACGCCTGTAATCCCAGCACTTTGGGAGGCTGAGGCGGGTGGATTATGAAGTCAGGAGTTCAAGACCAGCCTGGCCGAGATGATGAAACCCCGTCTCTACTAAAAATACAAGAAAAAAAAATTAACCAGATGTGGTGGCAGACACCTGTAATCCCAGCTACTCGGAAGGCTGAGGCAGAGAATTGCTTGAACCCGTGAGGCAGAGTTTGTGGTGAGCCGAGATGGCATCACTGCTCTCCAGCCTAGGCAACAGAGCAAGACTCCATCTCAAAAAAAAAAAAAAAAAAAAAAAAGAAGTGATGCAAAGAAAGCAGTGTCTTTAGAAGAGAGATGGGTTTCAACAGAGAAAAGCAAGAAGGTGAAGAAAATTTCACAGAGTAAAAAGATACAGGGAATGACCCAAAAACACAGTGAAAGTGTTTCAAGAGATGAAAACAGGAATTGCACAAAACTCAGTCAAGATTGGAGTCTATTGGAAGAGAAATAGCATAGTGACCTTCACAAATAAAAACAATGGGCATGATAAAACGGGTCTTGAAAATTGCAAGGCTGAGGATAGGCCTGAGTAGTGAGGGTGCATGGATAGGGCAGTTAGCTTCTCATATATGTGCTCCTTCTTGACCCCTTCTAATGATGTTGTTTATCAGTGTGTTTAATTGACCATTTTAATCATCCATACAATAAAATGAATATTAGAAGACTCTGAGCTATACAGAAATTAGTCAGAATGTTCTAGCATTGCAAACCTGGAAAATTAATCCTACTATTAATAAGAATCTAGGCTTTTATGATCTCATACAGTAGAGGCCTATTTGCCAATAATATTCTAGAATTTGCTTTAAAAAATAAATTGTATTTTAGTGCTATCATCTCTAAGTTTAAAAGGTTGAGATCAAAAACAGAAAAAAATATTTATTTTCAGATCAGACACCTGCTGCTTCCAATTTAGATACTGGGTAAAACTATTGGAAGTGAAAACAGCAGAGTGAAATATACTGTGTTCTAACCTCCCTAATTAACAACAGTCAGTTCTGAGCAAGCTTATTCAGGTCTCCTTTTCTTCATCGAGCTGACCAGGGGAGACCTTCAAGGCAAAATGTGTGAGCCATTAAAAAAAACTTCAAACAACAGATAAGCACTGAAGTCTTTGAAGAAACTGTGAACACCCTCTGGGGAGAAAATTAGACTTGTGAACTTAAAAAATGGCACACAAACATTTTTACACAAAACCGAAGACAGAGGTCAACAGGGATATTTCCAACTGAAGATTGCCTGTTGAGGAAGAAATTAGTTTTGAACATCAAAAATAAATGAACAAAGGGAGCAGAAAACAACATTAAATTAGGGTCTTTTCCTCAAGAAAAAACATCTCCTAACCCTCCCTCCACACAAAAGCACTAATCAAGCTTCCTTATTAAAAAAGAAAATCTCTCTTCAAGTAAGAAAATCAAGCTATGGAAAACCATAATAAAAAAGAGCTGTTTTTATAAGGATCTCTATATTGTTGCCGGAGTCAAAGTAGCTAATTTTGACTGATCTCTTGTTCCTAAGTAGATAAGCTTTATTATCTTATTTGCAACTTATGTCTCATACCATTAATTTATCACTTCATCATTCAATTTTGAGCTTTAAGTATAAATGTAAAGTCTTCAGACTAAGCACAATTGACGCCATTTTGTAGGTCATGATGAAAGGTTTAGGTTTAAGTCTGCTGCAATCACAGACCTCCAGGGAATGTATGTAGGGGGACCATTCAAAGCAAGTGCTCTTTTTTCATTACTATGAGGCTTCCTCTAAGGCCTGGGCAAGTTTCTTCTCTGTTGGTTGCTCCATAAATTAGGAAAATCCTTTCAGCCTAGATTATAAAGATGGTCTCAAATATACTTGCTTTGAAGACCCTTGTATTTGTTTGCTAGGGCAGCCCTAATAAATTACCACCAACTGGGTGGCCTAAACAATAGAAATGTATTGTCTCACTTCTGAAGGCTATAAGTCTGAGATCAAGGTGTTGGCAGGGTTGGTACCTTCTAAGGGCTGTGAGGAAAGGCTCTGTTCCAGGCCTCTCTTCTTGGTTTGTAATGATTAGACCATTTCCTTTCCTTTCTTTTTTTTTTTTTTTATTATTATACTTTAAGTTTTAGGGTACATGTGCACATTGTGCAGGTTAGTTACATACGTATACATGTGCCATGCTGGTGTGCTGCACCCACTAACTCGTCATCTAGCATTAGGTATATCTCCCAATGCTATCCCTCCCCCCTCCCCCCATCCCACAACAGTCCCCAGAGTGTGATGTTCCCCTTCCTGTGTCCATGTGATCTCATTGTTCAATTCCCACCTATGAGTGAGAATATGCGGTGTTTGGTTTTTTGTTCTTGCGATAGTTTACTGAGAATGATGATTTCCAATTTTATCCATGTCCCTACAAAGGACATGAACTCATCATTTTTTATGGCTGCATAGTATTCCAAGACCATTTCCTTTTCTATTTCCATTTACTCTCAAGCCTCTCTCCTGTTGGCTTAGCCACAGGATGGCCATCTTCTTCCTGTGTCCTTACATAATCTTCCTTCTGTATGTATATGCATCCAGATTGCCTCTCTCTCTTTTTTTTTCTTTTTCTTTTCTTTTTTTTTTTTTTTGCTTTTCTTTTTGTGTTTGTTTGTTTTGTTTTTGTTTTTTGAGATGAAGTCTTGCTCTGTTACCCAGGCTGGAGTGCAATGGCACAGTCTAGGCTCACTGCAACCTCTGCCTCCCAGGTTCAAGCAATTCTCCTGCCTTAGCCTCCCGAGTAGCTGGGACTACAGGTGCGTGCCACCACACCCAGCTAATTTTTGTATTTTTAGTAGAGACGGGATTTCACGATGTTGGCCAGCCTGGTCTCAAATCCCTGACCTTGTGATCTGCCCACCTCAGCCTCCCAAAGTGCTGGGGTTACAGGTGTGAGCCACCACACCAGGCCCAGTTTGCCTCTTTTTCTAAGGACATCAATCTTATTGGATTAGGACCCATCCTAATGACCTCAATTTAATTACATATTTAACAGACCTATCTCCAAATACAGTTACATTCTGAGGTATTGATGTTTAAGGCTTCAACATATGAATTTTGGAGGAATATAATTCAGCCAATAACAACCCTGTTAAAGAAGTTTGAAAAATGTACCACCTCTCCTTCTCACATTAGCATTCAATTTTTTTCTCATTATGTTTAAAGAAGGTTGTTTCTACTATATTTTACTGAAAATTTATATATAAAACTGTTAATATAACTTTTAGGCATAAACAATAAAATATATAACTGTCCACGTGTTCTCATTATTTAGCTCCCACCTATAAATAAGAATATGCAGTACTTGGTTTTCTGTTCCTGCATTAGCTTGCTAAAGATAATGACCTCCGTTTCCATCCATGTTACTGCAAAGGACATGATCTCATTCTTTATATGGCTGCATAGTATTCCATGGTGTATTTGTACCAAATTTTCTTTATCCAGTCTCCTGTTGAAGGACATTTAGGTTGAATCCATGTCTTTGCTATTGTAAATAGTGCTGCAATAAACATGCATGTGCAATTGTCTTTATGATATAACTAATTATATTCCTTTGGGTATATATCCAGTAGTGGGATTGGAGGGTCAAGTGGTAATTCTGCTTTTAGTTCTTTGATGAATCACCACACTGCTTTCCACAATGGTTGAACTAGTTTACCTCTAACCAATAGTGAATAAATGTTCCCTTTTCTCCACAACCTCACCGATATCTCTATTTTTTTTTATTTTCTAATAATAGCCATTCTGACTGGTGTGAGATGGTATCTCATTGTGGTTTTGATTTGCATTTCTCTGATGGTTAGTGATATTGAGCAATTTTTCATATGCCAGTTGGCCACACGTAGGTCTTCTTTTCAAAAGTGTTTGTTCATGTTCTTTGTCCACTTTTTAATAAGGTTGTTTGTGTTTTTGCTTGTACATTTGTTTAAGTCTCTTGTGGATTCTGGATATTAGACTTTTGTCAGATGTATACTTTGCAAATATTTTCTCCCATTCTGTAAATTGCCTGTTTACTCTGATTCTGATGACAATTTCTTTGGCTTTGCAGAATCTCTTTAATTTAATTAGGTTCCATTTGTCAAATTTTGCTTTTGTTGCAATTGCTTTTGGTGTTTTTGTCATGAAATCTTTGCCATTTCCTATGTCCAAAATAGTATTTCCTAGGTTATATTCCAGAGTGTTTATAGTTTTAGGTTTTACATTTTGGTCTTTAATCCATCTTGAGTTGATTTTTGAATGTGGTATAAGGAAGGAGTCCATTTTCAATCTTCTGCACATAGCTAGTCTGTTATCCCAACATCATTTATTGAATAGTGAATCCATTCTCCATTGCTGGTTTTTGTAAGCTTTGTCAAAAATCAGATGATTGTAGGTGTGTGGCTGTTCCATTGTTCTATGTATTTGTGTTTACCAGCACCACAGTGCTTTGGTTACTGTAGCCTTGTGGTACAATTTGAAGTTGGGCAATGTTATTCTTCCAGCTTTGTTCTTTTTGCTTAGGATTGCCTTTGCTATTAGGTCTCTTTTTTGGTTCCATATGAATTTTAGAACAGTTTTTCTAGTTCTGTAAAGAATATCATTGGTAGATTGATAAGAACAGCATTGAATCTGTAAGTTGCAATAGGCATTATGGCTATTTTAACAACACTGATTTTTCTTATCCATGAGAATGAATTGTTCTTCCATTTGTTTCTGTCATCTCTGATTTCATTCAGCAATGTTTTGTAATTCTCATTGTAGAGGTTTTTTACCTTCCTGGTTAAGCTGTATTCCTAGGTATATTCTTATTTTTGTGGCAATTGTGAATGAGAATTGTGTTCCTGATTTCACTCTCTGCTTGGGTACTGCTAGTGCATTGGAATGCTACTGAGTTTTGTACATTGATTTTATATCCTGAAATTTTGCTGAAGTTGTTTATCAGATCAAGGGGCTTTTAGGTAGAAATTATGGAATTTTCAAGACATAGAATCATGTCATCTGTAAACAGGGATAGTTTCACTTCCTTTCTTCCTATTTGGATTACTTTTATTTCCTTCTCTTTCCTGATTTCTCTAACCAGGATTGAATACTATATTGAATAGGAGTGGCAAGAGTGGGCATCCTTGTCTTGTTCTGGGTTTCAAGGGGAATGTTTTTGGCTTTTGCCCATTCAGTATGATGTTGGCTGTGGGTTTCTCATAGATGGCTCTTATTATTTTGAAATATGTTTCTTTAATGCATAGTTTATTGAATGTTTTTAACATGAAGGGAAGTCGAATTTTGTCAAGAGCCTTTCAGGCATCTATTGAGATAATCATGTGGTTTTTGTCTTTAGTTCTGTTTATGTGATGACTCACATTTATTGATTTGCATATGTTGAACCAAACTTGCAAACCCAGTGATAAAGCCTACTTGATTGTGGTTGGTTAGCTTTTTCATGTGCTGCTGGATTTGGTTTGCTGGTATTTTGTTGGGGATTTTTGCATCTATGTACATCAAAGATATTGGCCTGAAGTTTTATTTTGTGTGTGTGTGTCTCTGCCAGGTTTTTGATTCAGGATAATGCTGGCCTTATAAAATGAGTTAGGGATGAGTCTCTTCTCTCCATTGTTCTGGAACAGTTTCAATAGGAATGATACCAACTCTTCTTTGTGCATCTGGTAGAATGTAGCTGTGAATGTGCCTGGTATTGGGCTTTTTTTGATTCATAGGCTATTTATTATTGATTCAATTTTGGAGCTCACTATTGGTCTGTTAATGGATTTAATTTCTTCCTGGTTCGGTCTTGGGAGGATGTATGTTTCCAAGATAAGGGCAATGATATGGTGCTTTTATTAAAGGAGGCTTCTTTGGCACCACTACTTAAATATTTTCTTTGTTTATCATCCAGAAGATCTCAGGTTGTGAGAAAGGTAAAAATTATTTGGGAAAGTAGGAGAAAGCAGAGTTAGAAAGAAGAACCAGCATGATGCCTCTACCCCAGGCTCTTCAAGAAAACATGTAGAAGTTGAGAATCTGAAAATAGACATTCTTAAATCTGTGCCTGATCACCCACTTGAAAATTTTCATGTGCCACCAAAAGTGTGCTTACCTCATGTGAAGAACATTTGTACTAGTCTATTCTCACATTGTTATAAAGAACTTCCGGAGACTAGGTAAATCATAATGGAAAGAGGTATAATTAACTCACAGTTCTGCATGGCTAGGGAGGCCTAAGGAAACTTACAATCATGGCAGAAGGGGAAGCAAACACATCCTTCTTCACATGGCAGCAGGAGAGAGAAGTGCCGAGAAAAGGCGGAAAAGCCCCTTCCCCTTATAAAACCATCAGCTCTTGTGAGAGTTCACTATCACAAGAACAGCATGGGGTTAATTGATCCCAGGATTCAATTACCTCCTACTGGTTCCCTCCCATGACACATGGAGATTAGGGGAACTACATTTCAAGGTGAGGTTTGGGTGGGACACGGCCAAACCATATCACCATTGTATTAGTAGAAGGCATAAATGACTTATTTTCTATATGCCGTTTTGCATGGAACCCACTCTGGTCTTGCCTGCTTTTCCAGAGCAAGCTTGGGACAGTAGGGAAGGATTGCTCACAAAGTAGGGAAGATTATTCCCATGAACAAAGCCATGGGACACACTTTGCTTTATCAGTTATGTACTGCTTCAAATGAAAGAGAGGAAAAGTCAGCACAGTGCAATATAATAACTCATAGAAGACAAGACTGGGGATAAGGCCAATCAAGAGAGCAGAAAATAAGAGGATTAAATTTGTTCCTGCTACTGCCAGTACCCAGGATTGGCTTGTTTGTCCTTGTACCTTCCTCTGGGAGAATGAGGACAGAATAAGTGAAGGGAACCTTAACTTGTCCCTAAAGTCTGGAGTTGCTACAAGCAAACTAGCATGCTGCTAAAGCAAACAAACCTGGGATTAAACGTTGCTATCAGTAACAAGCTGTTTGACCTAAATCAGGTTACTACTCATCCTCTTTCTTTCATCAGAATAATATGGATAATAATAGTACCTGTCTTCATATTTTGGTGAGGTTTAAATAATTAGGCTGGGCGCGGTGGCTCACGCCTGTAATCTCAGCACTTTGGGAGGCCGAGGCGGGTGGATCATGAGGTCAGGAGATCGAGACCATCCTGGCTAACATGGTGAAACCCCATCTCTACTAAAAATACAAAAAATTAGCAGGGTGTGGTGGTGGGTGCCTGTAGTCCCAGCTACTCGGGAGGCTGAGGCAGGAGAATGGCATGAACCTGGGAGGTGGAGCTTGCAGTGAGCCGAGATCGCACCACTGCACTCCAGCCTGGGTGGCAGAGTGAGACTCCATCTCAAAAATAAAAAATAAAAATAAAAAAATAATTAAAATTTGCAAATGTTCTGCATGATGCATGGCATACTGTAGATGTTCAGTCAATCCCAGCAACTATTACAGTGCTCATATCTACTTATTGAAATTCAACTTATATTTCCAACTCATTCAAAGGATAGCTCTTCTTTAGAGCTACTACCATCTTCACTCCTTCCCTTAGCTAGTCAATCCAGTCTGTGTGAGTCAGCAGCACTTTATTTATACCTTTGTTTTAGCAGTGTTTCCCAAACCTTACTAATCCTCATAATGTCCAGAGAAGTGTATTGTAAAATACAAATCTTATGCATCTATATTTTGATTCAGTGTATCTCAGCTGGGATCTAAGAATACACATTTTTAAACCCTCAACTGCTATTTCAATAACCAGTCAAGTTTAGGAAACCCTGAACAAAATAATGTTCAATACCTTATTCAAACCTGAGGTCACATAAAATTAAATTTCTGATACTTTAAATGCCCATTTCAGTTCAGTTTACTTTTGTCTAAAAGACAGAGGAGTGAATAAATGAAGCTGATAGAAAAGGAGTTTCAGTTTGAGGTTAGTTTTTGTGTAAGAGAAGGGTGAGTTCTACTTCATACACATTGATTTCAACTTTTATTTTATATGCTGAGGGTACATTTGCAGACTTGTTACATGGGAATATTGCGTGATGCTACTGTTTGGAGTATGAATCTCATCAGCTAGGTAGTGAGGATGGTACCCAATAGGCAGTTTTTTAACTGCCTCCTTCAACCTCTAGTGGTCCTCAGTGTCTATTATTCCCATATTTATGTCCATATGTGCTCAAGGTTTAGCTCCCACTTATAAATGAGAACATGCAGTATTTGGTATTCTATTCCTGCATTAATTTGCTTGGGGTTGAGAACTACAGCTGCTTCCATATTGCTGCAAAGGACATGATTTCATTCTTTTTTGCCACTGCATAGTATTCCATGGTGTATATGTATTACATTTCCTTGATCTAATCTATTACTGATGGCACCCGGGTTGATTCTTTGTCTTTGCTAATGTGAATGTAACAGCAATGAACATGCAAGTGCATGAGTCTCTTTGGTAGGATGACGTATTTTCTTTTGAGAATATACTCAATAATGAGATTGTGGGGACAAATGGTAACCCTCTTTTGAGTTAAGAAATTTCCAAGATGCTTTCCACAGTGCCTGAACTAATTTATATTTCTACCAACAGTGTATAAGTATTCCCTGTTCTCTGCAGTCTCACCAGCATCTACTGTTTTTTGTTTTTTGTTTTTTTTTTACTTTTTTGTAATAGCCATTCTGACTGGTGTGCGATTATATCTCATTATGGTTTTGATTTGCATTTATCTGATGATCAGTGAAACTGAGCATTTTTTTCACATATTTATTGGCCATGTGTATGTCTTTTTTAAAAAGTATCTGTTCATATCCCTTGCCTATTTTTAATGGGGTTATTTGTTTTACGCTTGTTGATTTAAGTTCCCTATATTCTGTATATTAGGTCCTTGTCAGATGCATGATTTGTGAATATCTTCTCTCATTCTATAGATTGTTTGCTCTGTTGATAGTTTCTTTTGCTGTGCAGAAGCTCTTTAGTTTAATCAGGTCATACTTGCCTATTTTTCGTTTTGTTGCAATTACTTTTTGGAACTTAGCCAAAAACTTGTTGCCAAAGCCAATGTTGAGAAGAGTATTTCCTAGGTTGTCTTCCAGGATTCTTATAGTTTGAGGTCTTACATTTAAATCTTTAATCCATCTTGAGTTAATTTTTGTGTATGGTGAAATCTTCCACATATAGCTATCGTTATTCCAGCACCATTTATTGAATAAGGAGTCCTTTCCTCACTGCTTGTTTTCATTGGCCTTGTTGAAGATCATATGGCTGTAGATGTGCAGATTTATTCATGAGTTTTATATCCTCATTTATTTATGAGTTTTTTGGTTACTGTAGTCTTGTAATACAGTTTGAAGTCAGATAGTGTGATGCCTCGGCTTTGTTATTTTTGCTTAAGATTGCTTTGGCTCTTCAGGCTCTTTTTGCGTTCTGTGTGAATTTTAGGATAGTTTTTTCTAATTCTGTGAAAAGTAATGTTAGTCATTTTATAGGAATAGCATTGAATCTGTAAATTTCTTTGGGCAGTATGGCCGTTTTTATTATATCAATTTTCCTATCCATAAGCATGGAATGTTTCTCCATTTATGTAGTGACACAGGCTCAAAGTAAAAGGGTGGAGTAAAATCTATCATGCAAATTAAAAACATAAAAGAGCAGGAGCCAGTATTCTTAGATCAATTATAACAGACTTTAAACCAGTAAAAATTAAGAAGGACAACTAAGGGTGTTACATAATGATAAAGGGTAAAAATCCAACAAGAAGCTTTAACTAATATGTGTATATATACACTCAACCTTGGAGCAACCAGATTCATGAAACACCTTCTTCTTGGCCTACAATAAAAACTTAGACAATCACATAATAATAGTGGATACCTTCAATATCCCACTTCCAGTGTTAGACAGATCATTGAAGCAAAAAACTAACAGAGAAACTCTGGACTTAAACTTGATGCTTTACCAATTGGACCTAATAGACATCTACAGATCACTCCACCCAACAGCCATAGAATATACATTCTTCTCATCTGCCCACAGAACAGATTCTAAGATCAACCATATTCTCAGTCATAAAGCAAGATCCAATAAATTAAAAAAAAATAAATCATACCAAGCATACTCTTGGACCATGGCACAAAAAAAATAGAAATAAATACCAAGAAGCTCTCCCAAAACTATGCAAACACATAAAAATTAAACAACTTACTCCTTGAGTAACTCATGGGTGAACATCAAAATTAAGGAAAAAATTTAAAAAATATTTGAAATTAATAAAAATAGAAACAAAATTTACCAAAATCGCTGGGATGCAGCCAAAGCAGCGTGAAGAGGAAAGTTTATAGCCCGACACATCTTTATCAAGAAGTTATAAATGTCTCAAATTAACAGTCTATCTTTGTACCTACAAAAAAAAAAACTAGAAAAATAAACCAAACCAACTCTGAAGCTAGCGGAAGAAAAGAAATAACTAAAACTAGAGAAGAACTGAATAAAATTGAGATGCAAAAATTCATACAAAGGATGGTTCAATCCAGAGCTTATTCTTCAAAAAAAAAAAAAGATTGATAGACCCCCTAACTAGAGTAATAAAGAAAAAGAAAGAGAAGATCCAAATAAGCACAATCAGAATAAACAAAGGTGACATTACAACTGATCCCACAAGAATACAAAAGGTCTTCAGATACTACTATGAATAACACTATGCACACAAATTAAAAAATCTAGAGGATATGGTTAAATCCCTGGAAGCACATAGTCTCCCAAGATTGAATCAGAAAGAGATTGAAATCCTGAATAGACTAACATCAACTTCTGAAATTGAATCAGTTATAAAGAACCTATCAACCAAAAAAAGTCCTGGACCAGAGGGATTCACAGCCATATTCTACCAGATTTACAAAGAACTGATACCAATCCTATTGAAAGTATTCCAAAAAGTCAAGAAGGAGTTCCTCCCTAACTCATTCTATGAAGCCAGGATTAGCCTGATACCAAAATCTGGCAGAGAGACAATGAAAGTAAAGAAAACTGCAGACCAATATCCCCCATGAATATAGATGAAAAAATCCTCAAAAAAAATTAGTTATTTGAATCCCACAGCAAATCAAAAAGTTATTACATCACAGTTAAGTAGGCTTTTTTCTGGGATGCAAGATTGGTTCAACATACACAAATCAATAAATGCGATTCACCACAAAAACAGCATTAAAATGAAAAACCATATAATTATGTCAAAAGAAGCAGGAAAAACTTTTGATAAAATCCAACATCTCTTCATGATAAAAACTCTCAACAGACTAGGCATTGGAAGAATATACTTCAAAATAATAAAAGCCATCTATGACAAACCCACAGCCAACATCAAACTGAATGGGCAAAAGCTTGAACCATTACCTTTGAAAACTGGAACAAGGATGTCCACTCTCACCTATTGAACATAGAACTGGAAGTCCTAGCAAGAGAAATCAGGCAAGAGAAAGAAATATAAGGGATCCAAACAGGAAAAGAAGAAGTCAAACTATTTCTCTTTGCTGATGATATAATTCTATTCCTAGAAAACCTCATAGTCTCTGCATAAAACCTCCTTGATCTAATAAACAACTTCAGCAAAGTTTCAGGGTACAAAATCATTGTACAAAAATCAGTAGCATCTCTATAGACCAACAAAGTCCAAGCTGAGAGTAAAATCAAGTAAACAATCCTGTACAATAGCCACAATGAAACTGAAATACCTAGAAATACAGCTAACCAAGGAGGTGAAAGATCTCTACAAGGAGAACTACAAAACATGTTTATTTTAAATTTCCTGAATTATTTGGCTTATCAGCTGAAAGTTACAGTGATAGCAGGTTAATCTTTGAAAAGGCAAGTTCATTTTTCATGGTTTGGCACATCGACAACACTTAATGTCAACATGTACAAACTTCCTAAGAGATGTTTATCTGGGGGTGTACCTAAAGTGAAAAAGTTTACATTAGTATTTTTGAAAATATACTCTTCTTCACCTTACATAATGAATAAAGCCAGGAAGAAGAGGAAAAATTAAGTGGGAATAAAAGAGGGAGAGGCAGAAGGAGATTCATATTTTTTTGAATGATTGACAAGTGTATTTGTCAAATTTGTATTTTTAGATCATTGTGTCAATAAGGCAAATATTTTCAGTTTCATTATGTCTTTCAATCTACATGGAGCATGAGATTCACATCAATCCATTCCAATATTTTGATAGCAAGATCATGTACACATTCAAAATAAATATTGCAATAAAACAATTTAGAGAGTGTCATTTCACAAATGGCATAAATTTAACAAAATAAGGCAATAATGATAAGGAGTTAGCAACATTTATGACCATTTTTATATATTAATTATTTTGCCAAATATTCTTTTTAATCATGGAGATACTCTGAGTAAGTAAAGTTAGATGCAATTGTAAGAAGCGGCAATGAAATTTCAAAGTGGAATATAAAGCCAAATATTTTCTACATGCTTTTATTTAACTGGTCGTGCTAATATCTAGTTGAGTCCTCAGGCTAATTTAAAACATAATGTGAATTTTGAAAAATGTAGAAATTTCCCCTAAAGTAAAAGTATTCCACATGGGCCTAAGAAGTATATGGTATATTGTCATGTTTCTGTCCATTCAAAAAAGAAGAGGAAAGAAAACCTATCTGGCCTTTTTTGACCCAAGATCTTTTAAAAACTTTTGTACAAAGGTCAAGTGAACAGAAGTGAGCTAAAGTTATTAAGTGATCAATTTTAGCTGGAGCGCTTACTGGAAATTAAAATACAGACATTTTCCTCTCCCTCTTGAAAATTATCTTCAAATTAAACGTACATTTAAATATATCACATAACCAATTTCCTCCTGGGGAAAACTAAAGGATAATTTTCAATTTTGATGCTCTTCCTTACTCGTCTTTATTTTGATGACCAATGCCCAGAGCTTATTTTTGATTATATGTTTCCTTCTATATCATATTTCAAAAAGTTTCTTTTTACAATCTCCTGAAATACTACAGGGCAGATTCAAATATGTCCCAAGCAGGCACTGAAGTTTTAATGCATTTTTATGGGAACAAGTCTCAGCCTTTCCAATACAACGTTTATTTGTCCAGAAGGATGTTAGTGGAATGCCCTTCTATTTATAGCTTTGTAAACAAATTGTTCCTATACTACAAGTATGTAGAATGATTTATAATTTTCTATTTAATCAATTACTTTATCATGTTATACAAATATTATAAAATGCATGTTGTACAGCTGAATCTTCTTTGGGAATAAATCCATTATATTTGCTAATCCAACAATATAACAAATGAAGTTCAAATGGACTATTTTAATTAACGCAAGCCTTTCTGGAGTCCAAAACAATGTTATTATTGCCACTTCGATTAATGCTGTCTTGACACAGGTTAAATAAAAATGCTTGCCGCCAGTGTTTATAATTCCGATCCCACTACTTGGAACAGCACAAGCACAAGGTAAACAATAAATATATGTTGGATTAATATATTGCAATTATTATTTTTTGTCTTTTACAAAGGATAGTTACAATGAAGTTCTAACACTACCTTGTTTTTTAGGTGTATAAGCAAATGAGGTCATTTTTAATATGTGCAAAGTGAAATGGAGAAGTAAGGGCAAGAACTCCATGGCCTAAATTTTCTAGACCAATGCAATAAGGTAAGATTTACATGAATAAACTAGATAATTTATTTATTTAACAACACGACTTTATACAGGTAGACAATTTTGGATTTAGTGACACATGTACCAATTCCTGCTTCACTTGATAAAAGATATCATTGCTCTTTCATTTCTTAATTACGAAAAAATCACTCATATGATTGGGTGTTCCCCTATTTGCTTCTTTTCAATGCTATTTCCATCTATTTCAGATACTTGATATTTAAAATTCTAAATTTAAATACCTGAAATTGTTCCCTATAGTTAAATAGTGGACTGAAACTGCTGCGAATGTCCTAATTTGGAGAAATTCATTCTACCTAGGTGAAACCCTCATTTAATTTTATTGTGTTGAATAGGGATTAGAAAACTACTGCCCATGGGCCAAATCTGGCTGCAGCTATTTTTATATGTCCCACCAGCTAAGTACATTTTTCTAAGCGGTTAAAAAAATAAAAACATGACAAATGAAAATCACAGAAAATTCAAATTACCATGTTCATAAATAAAGATTTATGGGAATACAGCCTCGCTCATTTGTTTGTGTATTGTCTATGGCAGCTTTCACATGACAAGGACAGAGCTGAGTAACAACAAATAACACACATGGCCTAAAATGTTTGCTATTTAACCCTTTATGGAAAAGATTTGTCACCTCCTGGTGTAGAGCATTTATCTCTACTTTCTATCAACATTACAGTATTGGTGTCCTCTTTAGTAGTTGCCTTTGTTCAAACTGATGTAATTTGTGTCATGTTCAGCAAGATTAGAAGGTAGGTCCCACTGCTGCAATTACAATGACTCCCCTATATTTGCATTTCACCATTAAAAAATTCTAAACAATAATATTTCTCAGATTTTTAACACTATTTACTCTTTGTGACCAATTTCTGTAATGCCAAATATAGGGACCTATCTCTAGCCTAGCAATTTCCCCAACACCAGTCTGTTAAAGGCTTAAAGGCACTATGTCATCATTGATTTAAATATTTTTTGACAAATATTGGCTGGGTACCGCATCTCATGCCTGTAATCCCAGCACTTTGGGAGACCAAGGCATGTGGATCACCTTAGGTCAGGAGTTCAAGACCAGCCTGGCCAACATGATGAAACCCCATCTCTACTAAAAATACAAAAATTAGCTGGGCATGGTAGCTGGCATCTGTACTCCCAGCTACTTGGGAGGCTGAGGCAGAAGAATTACTTGAACCCGGGAGGTGGAGGTTGCAGTGAGCCGAGATCGCACCACTACACTCCAACCTGAGCGACAGGGCCAGACTCCATCTCAAAAAATGAATACATAAATAAATAAATAAATAAATATTTTTTGACAAGTAGAATGATATGTAATTAAAAACCCACCACTGAAATACCATCAACAAATTGAATTACTATGCTCATAAGGCAAATATATAACTGAAGAATTTTCTCAGTGGACTTGCCTGGTGAACTGCATTGTTCTGAATTGTGAAAATGATCATAAGTCCAGTTCTGTAAATGTCACTGTTGAAAAGAGGAAAACTCTGGACCAGTATCAGATATTTATATTTCTTACTGAATATAGTTAATAACAGTGTATTTTATGTTTCAAAAGTGCATGAAGGGTAGATTTTAAATGTTCTCACTGTCTACCCATCAACAGTGGATTGGATAAAGAAAATGTGGTACATATACACCATGGAATACTACACAGCTATAAAAAAGAATAAAATCATGTTTTTGAGGCAACATAGATTCAGCTGGAGGCCATTATCCTAAGTGAATTAACATAGCAACAGGACACCAAATACCACATATTCTCACTTGTAAGTGGGAGCTAAACTTTGGGTACTCATGGACATAAAGATGGCAACAATAGACACTGGGGACTACTAGAGTGGAGAGGAAGGGAGAGGGGCCAGGGATGATAAGCTAACTCTTGGGTACTATGCTCACTACCTGGGTGATGCAATCAACTGTACTATTTATCATTTACCATTTCCCATCATGCAATATACCCATGTAACAAACCTGCACGTGCAACTCCCAAATCTGAAATAAAAGTTGAAATTGTTTTTTAAAAACTGCACACAAAATAGAGCAAACAAGGCATTATGTACCTTTATGATACCATTACGTACATCATATCCTGATGATGAGAGAATACACTACTACCTATGAAGCAGTCTTACCAAAATAGCCAAAAAAAAACTTCTTACCACAAAGAAAAAGCATGTGCAATGGTATGTTAATTAGCCTGATTTAATTAATGTATACAATATATACATGTATCATAACATCACATTGCACCCCATAAATATATATGATTATTACTGTCAATTAAAACTAAAAATATTTTTGAATGTAAAAAAATTAAACTAATGTGGATAGAAATAAGTATTAAATAAGACTTACTAGAGTAATTATTTATTTTTTAAATGATGAGGTATCAAAATGCATTAAGGAAAATCTAAATAATTATATTTACAAATATGAATCATAAATTAATTGTAAAATAGGCAAATACTTATCTGATTATATGTGAAAATGGACTTTCTAAACAGCTTTTGCTAATAAGTAAGAAAAATATAAGCCACCTGGACAAAAATAGACAAAGGGAAGTATAATACTCAGTATTATTTTCTGTACAATGATGCACATTAGACTGAAAAATATAAAACTGAAGTTTCTAAGAGTCAAATATATTTGTTCATCAATAATTTCATATGGCTGATTCTATCACCTAATAGGGGCAGCCTGCTAAAATTTCTGAAAGGATGTGTGAAAATAATAACCTCAGATATAGCATGCCCTCATTTATTTTGTTTTAGAAAAAATAAGAAAATTAAGGAAAGGCTTACAATTTCATTACAATGACTCCATCCACACTGTGTTTAAAAATAACTGATTGGACAAGCCTAAATATTCAACAATAGTGTAAGGATTAGATAAATTATCAAATATCTTTATAGTAGAAGTCTATGTAGCCAATAAAATCAGTGGGAGAAAATTTGATCCTACTAGACCACCAGGAAGTGCTGGGAGGGTGGTAGGAAATGTCTCCTGTTTTTCTGTTCAGTAGCCTGTCCTTCAAATTCTCCTTCTCTAGTCACCCCCACTCTAACATGGTCTTGCTCCACCATGGGGATACTACCTGACTAATATTGCTCATAAGATAGCAAAAAAGAAAAAGAAGAAGCTGGTAAAAGCAGAGTAGGTAAGCTCAAACTCACAAACTCATTCACACAGCTCAGGCAGCAGAGCAATTTCATCACAGCAGAGAGAAAGAGGAAGGAAGAGTCTGTGACGTGAAACTGTGATGGTAAGATTCTGGACCAAGGGAAAAGGGAAAAGAACCACAGAATAGCTCAGGGATGGTGGAGGTTGCGAGGGAGATAGAGTGTAGGACTTTATGGCCTGAAGATGAGCTCTGGATGGGATAAATAATAAATATAAATCTTTGGAAGTAAAGACCAATGTAGAAACCACTTTCGGTCACTGGAATTTTTTATTTAAATGTTTACAAAACATGAATGTTTCATAATGAAACATGAATGAAATTGTTTGTTTACTTAAATGTTTATGAAACATAAAAATAGTTTGCTATATTGAGATATTGTCTTGCTTTAGGATATTACCTAGAAATATTTCACAGTATTTAATATTTTCTTTCCATGCCTAAGGTGCTAATAAATAGAAAGGCATTTGTAGTTTTTAGTTTTATTTGCCCTTTGAGTCAAGGGATTTCTAAACATTTGAATCTTTAGGTTTCAAAAAACAGACATGGAACATTGCCCAGTAGTAAAGTATAATAGTAGTAATGGTAGTTATAAAAAATAGTGATAAAACAAAATTTGTAATCAGTTAAAGAGAGAGGGTTATTTGTCATAATAGTCTTTGCAATGAATTATAATGGTTTTTTATTTCAAATAGGAGATTGTGATGATAAAAAAAATTCTAAAATTAGTTTATATTGTTCCATACCTGAATAACAATAAAGGATATAGTAAAACTTCACTTAGGTAAGAAAACAATTTTTTCTTTCTGATAATACCATGGATTGCTTTTGGAAACAAATGTATGCCACAGAATAAGATAAATGTAATATAATGTTAGAAAGGAAGAAAAGAAACTGGAGTTAAGGAAAAAACATATCCTTTTAAGACACAAATGTGAAAAATTCTCAAAATGCTTATAAAATATCCTTAAAGCCCAACTTCACTTGTAACATTTACTGTGGAAACAAGGACCAGTTTTCTTCAAGTCTTAGGTTTTCATGAAGCGCTGCCTGAAATATACTGCAGTGGCCCAGTCCCCACAGCATGGACTTAAAGGAAGACCCTTCTCTGAGTTACAACTTCTATGATGTCTTTCCTCCTGAAAGATGAAGAAAAGCAACTCAGTAAGTCCGAAGTGGAACTAAGCTGTTAAATAATAATTTCACTATATGCAGTTAAATAGGCAAGGAGGATTGTATTCAAGACTATTGCAATAGGAAAAAAAGATTGAACTAAACTCCCTGAAACAAAAGGAAAGAGGGTTTTTAAGTGCTGGTGTGAGCTGCTAAAAAAATGTTGCAGAACTGTAGGGGCAAAGCTGGACAATGTGATTAGGCCATTTGTGATTGCTAATTGCTGCTTTCAGAAGTTAGGCTCCTATACTCCCAGACACTGGGAAATAGGGGTGCTAGCTCTCCTAATGACTACATATTATAGGAATGACTCCCAGGTCCTTAAGAAAGACATTCCTGGGATATAGAAGATTTAAATCTCAAAGAAGCAGAGAAAGAATTTACAAGTTTTCTAATGTGAATGCTCTGTAAAGGGAGGTCAGGGGTCTATAATTTGAAAGAATTCTGTCTAAAGTATGGTCAAGCTGAGGGAAAAGTTAAGCTGCCTTGGTTAGCTGTTTCATGTGACTTATCAGCACAACACTTGGCCTCCCAATTTATCGCGGTGGAGAAATTACCCAATAGAAGACAGACAAGCCTAGAGTTACAGGTGATACATGCTGGCATGGTGCAATGATACCTAACTCCTTCTTAAGTTCTCTCTATATGTGTTAAAAAGCAATGTCACAAGTTAAATTTAACCACAGTCTATATGAAATACCAATAATGCAATAATGGATAATGATAACTTTTAATATTCAGAGGCAGGAAACCAAAACTGTACTCTGTCTCTAGTCTTATACCTGCCACCAACATACATTTTTTTTTCTAGCTCAATGGCTTGAAGAAGGGGCATTTGAAGCCAAGTATTTTTCCTTTTATTCCTCCTGATTAACTCTAGAGAACCCTTTAAACAATTTTCCTTGCTTATTTGAATTTTGACTTCAAATGCTTTTCATGACTTTAACTAACAATCATGGAAATATTGTCTACTCCAAGTAAACTGTAACTGAGGACTTGGCCTACTTGTTTATCCAAGGTCCCGCTCAATATCTATATGAGTAAATAGTGTAAGGAAAAAATTGTTTCCTGAGGAATTTTGTTTGTTTTGTTTTGTTTTTTACTTTCTGGAAGAATAATTTTCCAATGCAGAGACAGTACAACTAAATAAATAGTTAATCCTTCAATTCCTGGAGCTAGATTCATGGGTAGGAATCCCAGCGATAAAACTCATGGCTGTGTACCCTAGGCTAAGTTACTTCATTCTGTGCCTGTTTCCTCCTATCTGAAATAAGGTCATCAATAGAACTTACCCAACAGAGCTATTGTGACAATAACATGAGTTAAGGCATGTAAACCTTCAAATATGGTAAACTGGTATATTGAAAGCCTAATACATGGTAAGCTCATATACTTAGCATCATTTATTCTCTTTCTCTCTTTCTTTTTCTCTTTCTCTTCTTCCCTTCTTTTACCCTTTCCCTTCCTTTCCTTTCTATTTATATCTCTCTTTGTTTTACTTGTGTTGTAAGAAAAGTCACTGCTTAACCATAGTAACAATGCAGACTCTCACATAAAATACTTAGAAAAGTAATTCATTCATAGTAAATGCTAAGTAAGTGCTGCTGTTGGTATTATTTTCTTTATTCCTAAAACTTGTATTTCCTATGTGGACTTGGGGTTTATTACCCACATTTCATGTGTTTTTTATTGTAGGTTCTTCAAGTGTTTCATAAGACTTCAAAGTAAAATATAGATAAAATAAACTATGGCAGAAAATAATTCTCCATGGGTTAGAGGTCAGAAATAACTGTACAAGTTTCTGTAAAACTTACAAGGCACTAAAAATCTTAGAGTCTCTACTCTCTTGAAGTGTATACATTAAGAAGAAAACTTTATAAAATGAAACATAGTACTATGCCCCTAGCACATAAATACCGAGGTTCTGGAATTTTTTAAAGAAATAAATTTTAGTAGCATAATGCAAAAAGTGTATTATGTATCTTTGATAGTAGACTATGTGCCACATGCACAATTTCCTGTAAGTTATTTTGAGTTAAATAAATGTTTGAAATGAATAAGAAAGCATGAAAAAAATATGACAAAGCAATGGTATGCTAAGGATACTGAATAAAATAGAGAAGATATAGATTCTAAGTACAGTCCTGCCAATGGATAATTTGTTATGAATTCCCAGGCAAAACACTTTCTCTTTTTGTATCTTATTTTTGTGTCAAACAATGATAACAACACCTGCTCTGCTTACCCAAAGGGATCTTGTGAAGATCAAGTGAGACTATGAATGTGAAAACCATGGTAATACACTATACAAACATATACTAAACAAAGCAGTATACTAACATAACTAGTAGTATAATTAGAAGATTGCATTTTCAAAATGCACTAAATGAGTTGCAGTACCTTAAAAGTCTACAACTTTAAAGGAAACAGATGGATAAGAATAGCTCTTAGATGCCAAATTTACCATGCTGTGTTTTCTTATAGGTATGCCTGAAAATGGGATCTAAAAAGAAATTACGAAATAAAATATCAGGTGTCCAATAGTAAATTGAGAAAAAAGACTTACTGCCATTAAAGCAAAAGAATAAAAAATAAACCTAATAAACTATAAACATATTTATCAAATTCATTTATGAGTATTCACAGTAGTAGAGAATTCAGAGGTAGTATTTACCATAGAGTTAAAATTTGGGTGCTCACTGCTTGATATTGTCAATGTAATTAACCTTAACTATTTTTGTTTTGTACATACTGGTCCTTAATCATTTCCATAAATGTATTTCTTCCTTATTGCTATAATGCCCTTTCCACTTTTAGTTGATGAGAATGTTCATAAATGTTTTGGCTTCTACCGTCAGATGGAAAGATCTCTTATCTAATTGGCTGTTTTTACAGTATCTCTTAATTACAACTGGTTCTTGCTTGTAATTTCCATTCCATCAGTTTCCTTTCTCTCAATTGCTTCCTATTTATGTCCTATAGACTTTATGAACTTAGAGTCATGTTTATGATACTGAATGGTTATAATGTCTCTTAGAATTAGTGGCAGTAGATTTTTCTAGGTGATGAACTGCTCAAATTATAAATGCCATTTGAATTTAAAATATTCTGGAATTATTATTGAAAAATTATTATTACGACAAGGAATTTACCAGCCAATTGTAAGCACATTATATGTGGGTTAATTCTAAAGTTGCAGGGAAGAGGAAGGGGATGTTTGTTTGCTATGCATATTTAAACATCATAAAAGAGTATGATTGTCAAAAACAGATGCTGTCTTCTTGCATAAATTATAAATCATAGGTTTTATAAATAGTTTAAGTATTAGGAAAATTGTGATGGTAAAAGAAATAAAACTGGGACAAGATAATAGGCACATTTCTGAAATATAGAAGACTGAGAGTGCCAGGTTAGAGAAGCCTGCTAGATTTGTGTATGTTCTAACATAGAATAAACAAATATTACAGCTCATGTACAGGAGAAGAGGTCCTGGAAAAGCCTGTGGCATAGGCGGAATCTTTTATTCTATGAGTAAGCAGAAATAAAGATGTTAAGCTTTTGAATTATTTTTTCATTAGCAACATTTACGTTGCCTCATGCTTCTGACTCAAGTTCACTATGAGATGGAAGATAATGTATATGAATAACAATTTTGCAATCATTTTGCTGCAGATCTGGGCAATTGATTTCTTTTTCATGACATGAGAGGAAGAAATAAACCAAAATCAGATTTTTGTTTTCTGACAAAGTTCTTAGTGCATGCATGTGTGGCTGTGAGGATACTAGAATATGAGCAGTAAGATTTGAGAGAATGTTGTTTCCTCCACTTCCTTTCAAACTAACCCTGCCCTGACACCCATTCCTTACCCAGAAAATATAAGTGAAAGTGACAATTATTTCATAAAATCTGAGTAAGGTTTTACTCTCAGATTTTGCTCAAACAGAAAAGCTTCAAAAGACAGTGGAGGAGGTTGTGTGGTTAGTAAAAGAGTAAAAAATCCAAGTTGAATTTGTAACCCATAGGTATGGTGTAGATAATGATGATGAAAGAAATAATGAAAGAGCTAGCACTTAGTGACTAGAAAGTGAGAGCTTACTATGTGCCATGCATGGGCTGTGCAAAATGTGCTATTCTGCAACCCCATGTAAATATTGAATATATTTTACAGGCTATATTTTAAATTAAGTCACTCTAAAACTAACCTCCAATTTTGGTGAAAATCTATGTAAACTTTTTTTGGTGCAATGATAGACAAATGGACAGAACTGGCATTTTATTCATATGGATATTATTTTCAGTTTTAATACCTAAAGTTAGGGTCAAAAAATTAAATTGTAAATAAAGGAAAATAAATTATTTTCCTTCAGTGAGCCAGGAACTTAGTTCTAACTCCACAAGTGAGGTATTTTCTCTCTCTTCAGTCACATGGGACCCGTTTTTTAGCTTTCCAATCTAATGGATTTCTAGTGGCCTTCCTACGCACCTAGCTATAGAAGAAGTGAATTAGGCAATAGGGAAAACTCAGCTCATTAGGATCCAATGTGCTGTACTCAGAATTAAATTAAATAGTCTCACCTCATCAAACTTAAGAATCCACTATAACACAGACACTGATGAACAAAAGCCATTGTTTCACAATAGAAGATGGCTCTATCTTCTGAATTTTGAATGTACACAATATAACCTCTTTCTTTGATGTTTCCAGTTAATTCACAAGGTCATCAGCATTCTACAAAAGTTGCATTCAAGAGTGTCCTGGGACTGGACTGTTCAACATATTTCAACTTACTTCTTACCAGGTTTCAACCAACTGATTCTCCAAATGTGCCTCTGTGCTTAGACTGTAAAACAAAAAACACAATGCAAGATGGAGCTAAGGAAACAGTAGAAGTGAATCAGGGCATAGAGAAAAATGTTAAATTAGAGCTTGTTCAGAGTTCTATTTATTTCTTGAAATAAATTCATATGATTAAAATTCTGGAAAATAGAAAAGTGCTTTTTTTTTTATTTTGTAGCCATTTGCCAAAAAATGATAATTAAAGTCACTGAAAATAATTAGCATACTTAAGAGGAAAAATGACTAACTGGAGTTTTCAGATGAGTGTCAAAATGAGAAGCTTTCAAACCACATAATGAGAGAATTCAAGAAAGTAGGACTGTTTTTATAAGACAAAAGAAGAGTTGAAAGACAGCAAAGACTTTCTTCATGGGGTAACATTTTGAATGAGAAATTAGATCTATTTTCTTAGACTCTACAAGTAAAACTGGAACAATTTGCAGACAATTTCAGTATAATTCTCCAAGTATTTGGTGATTGGATGTTTTTAAGCAGAGAAAACTATTCTAATGTGATAATATTGTAGAAAAAATCCTTTTAGAAACATTGTTTTTGAAAAACACCTGGGGTTTGCCCATTTAATCATGAAAATACTTGTTTATTTTAATTCCTTGATAGAAGCATTACAAATTTCTGTTTTGAAATTTCTGTTTTTGTTGTGTTTGATGAACCACATTAACAATTTGATGGTTTCAGGAGGATGCATTTTAATAATAACCACATGCTGTATGCAGTGACACATTCAGAACCCATGTCAATATGCCTGTTGCTACACCCAAAGTCTCTAAACCATATGTTTTGGTTGGTTTGATGCTTTTATTAATTTTGGGGTATTTTTCTACTGTATTAGTCCATTTTCACACTGCTATGAAAGATTGAATAATTTACAAAGGAAAGAGGTTTAATTGACTCACATTTCTGCATGGCTGTAGAGGCCTCAGGAAACTTACAATCATGGCAGATGGGGAATCAGGCACCTTTATTGTGAAGAATGAGGTGACAGGAGAGAGAAGTGCAAGCAGGGGAAATGCCAGATACTTATAAAACCACCAGCTCTCATGAGAACTCGCTCACTATCACAAGAACAGCATGGGGAGACTGCCGCCATGATTCAGTCACCTCTATTCCTCCACACATGTGGATTACAATCTGAGATGAGATTTGGGTGGGGATAGGGTTACAGAGCCACACCATATCATTTCACCCCTGGCCTGTCGCAAATCTCCTGTCTTTTCACATTTCAAAATTAATAATGCCTTCCTACAGTCCCCTAGTCTTAACTCATTCCAGCATTAACTTAAAAGTCCACATCCAAAATCTCATCTGAGGTAAGGGAATTCCCTTCCACCTAGGAGCCTGTAAAATTAAACGCAAGTTAGTTACTTTCAAGGTACAATGGAAGTACAGGCATTGGATAAATGCTGTCAGTCCAAATGGGAGAGATTGGCCAAAATAAAGCAGCTACAGGCCCCATGCAAGTCTAAAATCCAGCGGGACACTCATTAAATGTTAAGTCTCCGAAATAATCTCCTTTGATTCCATGTCTCACATCCAGGCCATGCTGATACAAGGGGTGGGCTCTCACAGCCTTGGGCAGCTCCTTCACAGGCTGGCATTGAGTGCCTGTGGCTTTTACAGGGGCATGGTGCAAGCTGTCAGTGGATCTACCACTATGGGGTCTGGAGGATGGTGGCCCTCTTCTCACAGCTCCACTAGACATTGCCCCAGTGGGGACTCTGTGTTGGGGCTCCAACCCCACTTTCCCCTCTGCACCACCTTAGTAGAGGTTCTCCATGAGGGCTTCACCCCTGCAGAAGACTTCTGCCTGAACATCCAGGCATTTCCATACATCCTCTGAAATCTAGACAGAGGTTCCCAAACCTCAATTCTTGACTTCTGTGCACTGCAGGCCCAACACCACATGAAAGCTGCCAAGGATTGGGGTTTGGATCCTCTGAAGCAATGGTCCTAGCTGTACCTTGGCCCCTTTTAGCCATGACTGGAGCTGAAGCAGCTGGACTCAGGGCACCATGTCCAAGGTGCCCAGAGCAGTGGAGTCCCTGGGCCTGGCTCACAAAACCTATTTTCTTCCTAGGCCTCTGGGCCTGTGATGGGAGGGGCTGCCACAAAGTTCTCCGACATTCCCTGGAGACATTTTCCCTATTGTTTCGGTGATTAACATTTGGCTCCTTGTTACTTATGCAAATTTCTGCAACCAGCTTGAATTTCTCCCCAGAAAATGTGTTTTTCTTCTTCTATTACATTGTCAGGCTGCAAATTTCCCAAACTTTTATTCTTTGCTTCCCTTTTCAATATAAAGTGACAATTTCAAACCATTTATTTGGGTATGCATAAAACTGAATGCTTTCAAAATAATCCAGGTCACATATTGAATAATTTGCTGCTTAGAAATTTCTTTTACCAGGTACCCTAAATCATCTCTCCCAAATTCACAGTTTTCATTTTACCAGATACCTTAAATCATCTCTCTCAATGTTCCACAGATCTCTACAGCAGGAGCAAAATGCCACCAGTCTCTTTGCTAAAGCATAGCATGAGTGACCTTTACTCCAGTTCCCAATAAGTTCCTCATCTCCGTCTGAGACCACCTCAGCCTGGACTTCATTGTTCACATCACTATCAGCATTTTGGTCAAAACCATTCAACAAGTCTCTAGGAAGTTCAAAACTTCCCCACTTATTCCTGTCTTCTTCTGAGCTCTCCAAACTGTTTCAACTTCTGCCCATTACCCAGTTCCAAAGTCGCTTCCACACTTTCAAGTATCTTTCTAGCAGTGCCCCACCATCTTCAGTACCAATTTATTTTACTAGTCCATTTTCACACTGCTATAAAGAAATACCCAAGACTAGGCAATTTATGAAAGAAAGGAGTTTAATTGACTCACAGTTACACATGACTGGGGAGGCCTCCAGAAACTTACAATCATGACAGAAGGGGAAGCAGAAACCTTCTTCTTAAGGCAGCAGGAGAGAGAAGTGCAAGCAGGGGATATGACAGATGCCTGTAAAACCATCAGATCTCATGAGAACCCACTCACTATCATGAGAACAGCGTGGGGGAAACCATCCCTATGATCCAATCACCTCCCTCCTTTGACACATGGGTATTACAGATCCCTCCCTTGAAATGTGGGGATTACAATTCAAGATGAGATTTGGGTAGGGACACAGAGCAAAACAATATCATCTATATTTTCACATTATGACTCGTTCTGTATCTTCTATAGTGAGTATGTAAACCAAGCACAAAACTTGTTGAAGATAAGCAAACACAAGCTAACAGAGGAATTCTTCTAACAGTAATACAAACACATTAACTTGAGAGTGCCTTGAACTCAAACTATGTAGTTCCTATGGGCATAAATATATTTAGCAGACTATGCAGTCTACCCAGGGTAATCTGTTATAAATTTCTAATTCAAACTTTAGGACTGGAAAAAGCCTTGAATAATCCTGATTTATCTTCCTTTTTTTTTGTTCTGAGTATATTTTTCTATTTGTCATACTCTACTTTTTCCTTTGATAGAGTATTAATTACTTAAACCTAGCTTTTATCGTTATTTGGGAAAATACTTAGTCTTGGCTCATAAGTTTGTATGAAGTCTACTTTAAATACATTTTTTAATCAATTGCATTTAAAAGAAGTAGCTTATTATAATCTGCCAAATCCTAAAACCTGCTGTTTACCAGCTACCAGGCAATTGCTTCTCTTCATATTTTGGTGGCCTGTGGCTTTCCTTTGCTCTCCATTCTGTTTCCTCTATGTTCTCCTGCCTAGCTAGTTAGTTGCCTTAGTGCTCTGACCATATTGGGAAAATAGGAGGTATTTTTTGTATTACTTTTTGGAGAGAAGAATAAACACTTTTAAATTCAATTAATGCTGAAAATAATATGTAAGGAAATGGATACTGCAATACTTCCTTTGTAAGATTACACCCTGTTCATAATAGCTGAGATCTTTACTCCTTAACTATTTGATAGACAATATTTACATGAGTTACAAATGGACTTTGGAGCAACAGTTATAGTAGCTAGGGGTCATTTAAAATTCCCTCCTGGTATTGAGGTTTTCTTCAATAGGGTGTATTGTAAGATATCTGATTTTCTGATTAGGGAGATATGCTGTGCCAGTGATGTAGTTCATATAATTCAGGAAAAAAAATGAATGAAAATGATAGACCATTAAAAGACCGGAAATGAAAGAAAATTAAATTGTATAAATAGATTCTTATCATAGCTTCCCAGCCAGGAGAAACACAGCCACCAAGAAGATGTAGTAAAATGCTCTGTACTTTTTAATTCAGTCACATTTATTAAATATCTAGTATGTTTCAGGGACTATCCTTAGGTGTTATACATTATACATAGGATGCAAAAAAATGGATAAGACTCAATGATTACACAAGTTGAGAAAGATAGTTAGGCAGGATGATAATTCAATGATTACAAATATATATACACACACGCACATATATATGACATTAGTTCTAAAACCCTGAACAGACCAACGAGTTCCAAAATTGAATCAGTAATAAAAAACTACCAACCAAAGAAGCCCTAGACCAGATAAATTCACAGCCTTATTCTACCATATGTACAAATAAAAGCTGGTACCAATTCTACTGAAACTATTCCAAAAAATCAAGGAGGAGAGAATTCTCCCTAACACGTTTTACAAAGCCAGCATCACCCTGATACCAAAAACTGGCAGACAACAACAAAAAAGAAAATTATAGGCCAATATCCCTGATGAACATAGATGCAAAAATCTGCAACAAAATACTAACAAACTGAGTCCAGCAGCACATCACAAAGTTAATTCACCATGATCAAGTAGGCTTCACCCCTGAGACAGAAGTTTGGTTCAACATAATGCAAATCAACACCTGTGATCCACCACATAAACAGAATTAGAAACAAAAACTATACGACTATCTCAATAGAGGTAAAAAAGGCCTTCAATAAAGTCCAACATCTCTTCATGATAAAAACCCTCAACAAACTAGGCATTGAAGGAACATACTTCAAAATAATAAGAGCCATCCATGACAAACTCATAGCCAACATCATACTGAATGGACAAAATTAGAAGCATTCCCCTTTGGAACTGGAACAAGACAAGGATGCCCACTCGCCACTACTCTTCAACATTGTACTGGTAGTCCTTGCCAGAGCAATCAGGCAAGAAAAAGAAATAAAGTGCATCCAAAGGAAAAGAAGAAGTTATACTCTCTCCATTGATGATATGATTCTATACCTAGAAAGCCCTAAAGTCTCTGCCAAAGGGCTCTGGGAACTGATAAACAATTTCAATGAAGTTTCAGAATACAAAATCAATATACAAAAATTAATAGCATTTCTATACATAAATAATGTTCAAGCTAAGAGCAAAATCAAGAACACAACCCCATTTATGATAGCCACAAAAAATAAAATGCCTACAGATATATCTAACCAAGAGGATGAAAGATCTCTGCAAGAACTATAGAACACTACTGAAAGAAATAAGAGAATCTGAGCAAATGGAAAAATATTCCATACTCATGGGTAAGAAGAATTAATATTATTAAAATATCCATACTGCCAAACTAATCTACAGATTCAATGTTATTCCTATCAAACTATCCATGTCATTTTTCACAGAATTAGAAAAAAAATTCTAAAATTCATATAGAACCAAAAAAAGCCCAAATAGCCAGAGCTTTCCTAAGCAAAAAAAGCAAAACCAGAGGCATTACATTACCTGATTTCAAACTATACTATAAGGCAATAGTAACCAAAACAGCATGGTACCGGTACAAAAACAGACACATTGACCAATGGAACGAGTAAAGAACCCAGAAATAAAGCCGCCACACACCTACAGTCATCTGATCTTGACAAAGATGACAAAAATAAGCAATGGGGAAAGGATTCCCTATTCAACAAATGTTGCTGGAATAGCTGACTAGCTATATGCAGAAGAATGAAACTCAAACCCTAACTTTCAAAATTATACAAAAATTAACTGAAGATGGATTAAGGATTTAAATATAAGACCTCAAACTATAATAACCCTAGACAGAAACCAGGAAACCCCATTCTGGACATCAGTTTTGGGAAATAATTTATGATTAAGTCCTGAAAAGCAATTGCAACCAAAACAAATATTAACAACTAGGATCTAATTAAACTAATGAGCTTCTGCAAAGCCAAAAAAAAATCGATAAACAGACAACCAACACTAACATAATGGGAGAAAGTATTTGCAAGTATGCATCTGACAAAGGTCTAATATCCAGAATCTGTAAAGTATGTAAATAATTCAACAAGCAAAAAATAAATAATCCCATTAAAAAGTGAGCAAAAGACATGAACAGACACTTCTCAAAAGAAGATATACAAATGGCCAAAAAACATATGAAAAAATGTTCAACAGTACTAACCATCAGAGAGATGCAAATCAAAACTAAAATGAGAAGCCGTCTTACCACAGTCGAAATGGCAATTATTAAAAAGTTAAAAAGCAATAGATATTGGTGAGGCAGTAGATAAAAGGGAATGCTTATCCACTGCTGATGGGAATGTAAATAAATTAAACCACTGTGGAAAGCAGTTTGGAGATTTCTTGGAGAACTTAAAACAGAACAACCATTTGACCCAGGAATACTCTTTCTGGATGTATGTCCATGAGAGAATTAATTATTCTATCAAAAAGACACATGCACCTATATGTTCATTGCAGCACTGTTTAAAGTAACAAAGACATGGAATAAACCCAAATGTCCATCAATGATTGATTGGATAAAGAAAACCTAGTACAAATACACTATGGAATACTATGCAGCCATGAAAAACAATGAAATCATGTCCTTTACAGAAACATAGGTGCAGCTGGAGGCCATTATCCAAAGCAAATTAATGCAGAAACAGAAAACCAAATACCACATATTCACAGTTATAAATGAGAGCTAAACATTAGGTAATCATGGACATAAAGATGGCAACAATAGACACTGGGGGCTAGTAGAGGAGGGAGGGAGAGGGACAAATGTTGAAAAAATAACTATAACTATTGGATATTATGCTCACTACCTTAGTGGTGGTATCATTCATATCCCAAACCTCAGCGTCAGGCAATATACCTGCAACAAACCTGCACATATATACCATGAATCTAAAATAAAATTGAAATTATATATTTAAAGAAAAGATTCTAGTTCTGGACAGAGAAGGAAGGTGATGTTGGGGATGACATCAGAACTGTGCGTTGAAGGATGAATAGGAATTTTTCAAGTGTGTAAAGCTAAAGAAAGACAATAAAGGGAGAAAGACTAGCATGCATAAAGAGTTAGAGGTATCAAAATGTAGGGCTGCAATTCTGAGCAGCTTCCTACGGCTTAACTAGGTATCCTGGGATAAGAGGTGAGGGTAAAAAGGTAGACAGAAACCAAATCATAAAGAACCACAAGACACAATGGGCCATATAATGTAAGACAGTCATTTAGCTTTTATTTGGTGAGAGGTAGGCATCTATTGAAGGTCTCACAAAGTGGCAATTTGGGAAAATAGGAGGCAAGGAGACAAAGTAGAATTGAAAAGCTGAAATAGCCGGGTGCGGTGGCTCACGCCTGTAATCCCAGCACTTTGGGAGGCCGAGGCTGGCGGATCACGAGGTCAGGAGATCGAGACCATCCTGGCTAACACGGTGAAACCCCGTCTCTACTAAAAAAATACAAAAAAAATTAGTGGGGCGTGGTGGTGGGCGCCTGTAGTCCCAGCTACTCGGGAGGCTGAGGCAGATAATTGCTTGAACCCAAGAGGCGGAGTTTGCGGTGAGCCAAGATCGCATCACTACACTCCAGCCTGGGTGACAGAGCGAGACTCAGTATCAAAAAAAAAAAAAAAAAAGGAAAAGAAAGAAAGAAAAGCTGAAATAGCTGTAACAAAGAGTATGATGAAATATATTCATGATGAAAATGTACTCTCACATTCTCTACCACAAGAAAGTTAGCTGAGTTGTGCATCAAAGTTCCCCACGTAACAATGGAACAAAACTTTGATTAGTCAGCATCTCCTCTGTGTGTTACAATGTTTATGAGATCATCCTGATATTTTGCATTGACAGTTGTTTTCTATAACTGACACAAGGTCTCTAGCTGTAAATTCTGATGCACACTGACCCCACTGTGATCTTGTTAAAAACTTTCAACAGAACTGTATCACGCATTGCCAGAGCAAAGCTCCTTAAAGTTTAACAAAGGACAAGTAATGCACACATGCTACTGGTTTTGTTCTAAAAGCTGGTGAAGCAAGAACTCTTTAGGCCATCCATCTTTCTATGATCAGACCAAGTGTCTCATTCCAATCAAAGATTGTTCCCAACAAACATGCTTTATATTGGTCATGGGAACGAAAGCTTAGATAGAACTCCAAGAAAATGACAATTTTATTTCTTCATTTCTCCTTTATTGAACACCAAAAAGATATTGTAAATAGTCACTATGATCTAGGCTGTCACAACACCTATACTACAAAAACAAAGTATTTTTCAATACTGTCCTTTTCAGAGTAAATAGAAATAGCACCTTATTTTGTTTGCTGAAATTTTACCCATAGATTGTCAGTTTTGTATCAAAAGAAAAATACCCTTTATATTGCATGAAATAATCAAGAGAGCTAAACAGATACAACACTACATTTTCCACTGTGTAAAATAATCCAAAGAGAATTATGCAGTAAATCAAATGTTTTAATATTGTGGTACACACCATGACCCAAGAATTTTTGTTTTCTTTCCCTTTTCTTTCCACCAATGTATCCCAACTGAAATGCACTCTTTACTAACATAGTTTCAAAATCACATGCTTAGGTTTTATTTACACACTAGCTATATCTGACTAAATGGCAAATTTTCAGTTGTAGGCAAAAACTGAGTTTAAAATGCAGTGAAACTTTAATTTTTCTACTTGAAAATAAGAAAACAAATTATGGAATAACATGAAATTAATGAAGTCGATGTGATGTTTACTTTAAACGACTCCAGGAGATATTTGGATAAAAGAAAAAATCAATCTATAAAAGCAGAAATATTTCCCATGTACATATAAAAGTGAAAACGAATTATGTTTATGTTTCACAAGTTAAATGACAAAAACTTTTTTTCTATGTTGCTATTTGCAATTCTAAAAATCTATAGCTAAAGTAAAAGGGAAAATTCTTTTTTTAGTTCAAGATTCCTAGCTTTACTCTGGAGAACTAATTAATACTTCCTCACCAATCTCACTCAATACTGAGCAGTTTTAGAACTTTGAAGATGATTGTGTGTGTCTGTGTGTTCATTTCTCTACATTATGCACTTCTCTGAACTGCTATTAATTGTCATCTGTTCAACATGTTTTTACCAAATGTTTACTACAAGTTACACACTCCTAGATTCTGTGTGCTCAAATAAACTTAGTGCTATGAGCAGAATATCTAGTGAAGAATGTTTATATTAGAAATCATTACCACCAATATTAGCATGTGGCACAGCTTCATTCTCACATTGCCTAGGCGCTAAGTATTCTGATATATTTATACATATTTTTTCTTTAGAGCTTAACAATAATAGTGGTTTCACAGGAAACAAATTACTACTATTATTCAACAAATTCTAACACAATTTTACACAACAACAACCACAACAAATTTGTTGTTTATATAACATTAAAGTGATTCAATGGGGTTATAACCTTTCCACCTAAACAGTTTAGGTATTATACTGTAGGCAGAGGTGAAATCCGTTGACTGCTCTTAACAGCATGCATTATTATTGGAAATCAGGCCACAAAGAGAAGGAAAATGAAGAACTTTGTGCTTTTTTTTTTCATTTTCAAGCAACACATTTCAGAAACACAGAGGAACAATTCTCCTATTGAGAGAGTATAGTTAACAACAAGGTTCTATAGAATTGGGCCTTGAAAAATGGATAAGTGATCATGTGATAGAGCTAAAAGGGAAAATCATGATAGGCTGAATAAGTGAAGTTAATACAGGCATGGAGATAAGACAGGAAATGACTGCACTAAAGAAATACATCCACAATAATATTAGAAGTTGTGTCTAAATGGAGAAAGCCATGAGAGATATTCAGAATGTCACTGAATATAATTTAAAATAAGCAATAGTGTGTTAGGCAGAAAATATGTGAAAAAAAATGCAAGATTCCTTTAAATCCAAAGATGTTTAGACCTTGTTGGGAATGAATGTATATACCTTTACATCCAAAGAAATACAAAATTCAATCAAGTAAATAGAAGTAGACTGGATAAAGTTTGCAGTCTTTGGTTATTAGAAGTAAGGATTAAGTAACCTAGATTTGAAACTAAGGGGGATTATGTGACTGCCTTCATTTTTGGTGGTCTACTTCAAATTATGGAGTCACTAATATGGCAACTATATATATAGGTCTCAGTACATTCTCTCAGCATTGAATGCAAAAATTCAGTCACATATAAGCTGCCACTTTCCGTCATTTAGTAAGCCATAGGAACTGAGAAGGCAAACTCAGAAAATTTGCATGAAAAGTACATTAATTATCTATTGCTACATAAGCAAATTACCTCGAAGTTTAGTAGCTTAAAATAACCTTTATTATTACACCCAGTTTCTTAGGGCAGGAATCAGAGTAGCTTAATTAGATGATTCTGGTTCAGAGTCTCATGAGGATGCAGTGAAGCCATTGGCTGGAACTCAGTCACCTGGAGACTCAACCAGCACTAGATCAAATGTTATTCTCACTCACATGGTTGTTGGCAGGACTCAGTTCCTCACTGGCTATTCACTAAAGCTCTTAGTTCCTCACTATAATGGCTTCTTCACAGGGCTGTTTCCTCATCACAAAGCAGCCAGCTTCTTCCACCATGAGTAATCCAAGAGCAAAAGAATAATGTGTAGATTTTAAGTGTGTTAAATGTTTAGGCCAATTTGGGCTTATTAATGTAAGTTATTCTGGAAATTCCAACTAAAATATATAACTGACTAATACAAATTTGTGATTTTAAGAAGAAATTTTAACAAGTGTTATATTGGATCATTTGAGAATAAATATATTAGTATATTATAGTTATTAAACTTATGGTAGTATTTTTTTACAGTAGTCAATTTATATATTTTAAAATAAATTACATATAAAATGCATAAATGCAGTTTAAAATATTTGAAATTGTGATTTGTATTAATCAACAGGCTTACTACAAGTGGTTGTTAAAATGTATTAAGTCTATAAGTAGACTATTTAGATTTTTAACCTAAATTTGGAAGCTTAAGGGAGAACTTAGATTTTAATGTGGAAGTTTAATAAATCAAGCAAACACATATTAACTTTCTGATTTAATATTTTAAAATAATTTCAACACAAATAACTAGCAAGAATACCACAAAGGGCTCACATGGACTCTATCCAGATTCCACAATTTTGTAACATGTTCTATATTTGCCTTAAAACACTATCCCTTCTAGTGTCAGATCAAATCCAGGATCAGGTCATGTATTAGTTGTGTCTTTACATATAGTATATATGTGCATATGTGTCTGTGTATGTGTATATAATGTCAGTTCACATCTACACCTGTGATTTTAATCCAATACCATAGGCTTTTAAAAATTCTTTACCCTTTCCATATCTGTTTGCCCCTTCTCTAACAGTGAGAAATCTAGTTCCCATTACACTCAATATATCAATTTATTTGCATAGTACTAAAAATGTAACCAAAATCCTTACCAGGCAGGCCAGCACCTCCTACACTTTCTGCAGAATTTGTCTGTGCAGATGAATCTTCTCTGACTAACCATTGCCTGATCTTGTCATCTCATTGAGGTTGTGCAGGCCATGGAAGACCTGTCACCATTCCAAGTGATATATTAATAGCTAAAATGATATAATACTTTATGCAATTTGTGAAATAAAAATTTTGAATACATTCCTTTATTTTAATAAGAAGTGTTCAATGTATAAATTTTATACAAGCATCATCTAAGAAGCTTTGGCCAACATGGCTCTTTCTGTTATAAAACAGGCCTTAGACACAGTATGGAATTAAAATTCCTTGAGCACATCTAATTGTCTGGAAAACGACGGTTAATAAGGAAATGGGGCAACCACTTACTTAACATCTCTTGGGCTCAGATTACTCTCAATCTGTAAATTGGGGATAATTGTTTTGCAACCAGTCTCTGAATTAACAGAGTTTAGTGCTGAGGGAAATTAAGTGCTGCCGCATAATGAAGTAAAAAAGGAAAAGGAGACATCAAGTGGTTTTGATGTCACTACCCCTACATCCACCAGAGCAGCACTTACTGGTCTATTTTATATGGTGGACTTTTACTTTGCTAGAGTCCCATGGCTAGAGTTAAGTGGTAGGAAACCACTGGCCTAGCACTACCATTCATTCTATGCATTACTAGACAGTTTTGTTTAAAGTCCTTCCTTTATTCATTAAATCTGCTCCATTGTGCCTAGCAATGAGCTTTAGTAGAAAAAAAGTAGAAAACCATGCATTGACTTGGAATCATTACGTAAATTAGAATGCCTACTCCACAGCATAATTTTGAGAACTTAAATAAGATGATGTATGTTGCATCAAGCACAAGGAAGTTTAGAATAGGCAATCGATAAATGTAATTATTTTCTTGTTTTTTCTAGCACATTGCTGAGCTTCTAGTTGGTTCTTAATAGGTATTTGTTAAGATGAATTACATCTCAGCATCTTGCCACTTAATACTTACCTGTCCTGATTTCAGATAGCTTTTGTCGAAGGTTTACAACCAATTCATTTTGACCAGTATTTCCAAACAAGTTAGCTGAATTATAATTTGCTTCTTATAGCTGGTTCTTTGTAGTAGTAGGAGTGGGGAAGGACAGGAAGATATCCAGAACATGTGAAGTTAAAGTTAACCACTGAGATTAAGTTAAGTTAGGGAAAATCAACATGTAATAAATGAAATGCAGCATCTATTAAGTAATTCACCTTAAATGATATTAGTAGCTAAGATATATTGAATATTTTCTCTGTGCCAGGTATTTAGCAAAGCCTTTTATAAACAATTCATGAAATAGGCACTGTTATCAGTCTTATTTTACAAAAATAATTTGCCCAAGGTTACACAACTAGGAGTAACTGGATTCCAATCCTGACAGTCGGATTTCAATTTGCACACTTAACTAATCAACCTAGCATATAATATGTGAATAGAAGTTTGATTTTCAAAAGAAATTGTTAAAAGTATTAAGTATTTATTAAGCTAATATGGTGTGCCAGATAGTGTAGTAAGTGCTAGAGATATGGCAGTGGAACATACATTGCCTCTTCTCTAGTAAGATGAGCTGAGAAACATAAACACAAAAATAACAAAATTTTCATCATGATAAAAATGAATATATTGACATATGTAATCGACAGTTTTGTCAGTTGCATTATACTTAGTCCCAACTAGAAGTTTCTTAATAAAAGCAGGATGATATGTAAGAAAAAGGGAAAGTTTAAGAGAAACACTTTTTCAGTTGGTCATGAGCCTTGTCTAGGAGAGGGGATGACATAACCAAGGAGGTTTCCTGGGCAGGTATCTCTGAAATGGAATGGATCTACTAGACTATCAGATCTCAGTGACATTAACCATCAAAAATGCATAATACCCTCGATTTTCTAATTATAAATGATTAAAGGAGCATTGTAATTCATGCATTATTTAGGCTATTAAGAGTTTAGTTTGAACAAACCCACTATAGCTTTGTCAGTTTTTGGTGAACTAAACAACAAATAAATAAGCTTTTTATTACGCAAAGACAGAGAACAGACAGAAATACAGTAAATCCACAGAGTGTCTAGCACCCTGTAGAGGGAGGTGTTTTCTGGGTAACCAGTTGGCTTCTGGAAATACTGGCTCTCTCTCCTCTATCTTGCTGCTTTCTTAGTGTAGCATTTTCTCTTCTTCTTCATTAATTTCCCTCCTCCAAAATGTTAGGCGTATTTTCTTCTTGGGTAGCACCAGTCAAATCGGTAATTCTGGCTGTTCTCACTAATTCCTGCTAGTTTAAATTTTCACCAATTCCTGCTAGTTTAACTTTTCACCAGCACCTTTATTAAGTACATTACAAACACCTTTACTTAAGCATGTGCACATGTTCATGTGCACTCACACACACGCACACACCTGTCTCCTTGATTCTCGCATCCTATTAATAACACTTAATATTAAGCAATCTTAAATTGTAGTGCAGACTCCCAACCAAATTCACATTGATTTTAAATTAATGAGGTGACAGGTTAGAATTTTATCACAAAGACTAAGCTTCTCCTTTCACTACCTTTAGAAAGCAAAGAGGAAAAAAATTAAACTCTTCAAAATCCAATCTATCACCTTATCTCTTTGGCTAATACTTCCAAGGCATTCATCAAGACCAGCACTGCTCAGAGAGAACTATTTATGCCCTGCTAATGGACTAGGCTTTTATTTAAATCGTGGCTAGAACATACTAATGGCATTGCACAGACCCGCTGATTTGCCTTGGGATAAAATAATCCAGCTTAACATCAACAAAATAAACATCCTTTTAAAGCACTGCTTGAACTTAATATTCACTCTAAAGTATATAATTCAGTGTTCTCTCTTATGAAATATAGTTGCTCTATGCAAATTTTTGAAATGTTAAGTTTTGTCTTCAATTCTACTTATTCTGATCTCCATATTGTTGGACATTTAATCTCTTCAGAGCACTTGTATTCAACCATGTAAAGAAATGCTCTTATAACTTGTCAAATTTTCAATAATGGCTTCTTCAGGTAATAAAACTATTCATGTAAACACCAGGATGTGTTTTGTGTTACTTCCTGGGAAACAACTTAATACTGGAGGAAACAGGAAGAAAATTAAATAACTTCATTCTAATAATTTACCTATCATCAAGGTCACAGAAATAATTAAGCACATTGACAAATATTATGCTTTTTTGTTTCCTTATACACTATATTTGCATACTCCTAATTCAAAGAAGTATGAGGGATGAGGTTATTGTTGAAATGAATTGACATTCTTACAAACAAGGTAACACACAGGTCTTTAAAGAGAAAATATTAGATTAGAGTAAAATTAGATTTGCATTAGATTAAAATTAGCTCTATTAGTATTAATAAATATTAATATAAAAGTGTACAAAATATAATTAAGCCTCCTTACCCTAGTATTGACATGCATGTCCATTCGGATGAGAAATGGTGTTAATGCTGAGGTTTGAGAATAACACTGACTGTTCTTCTGAAGTTAATTTAATTTAGTCATGGACAGAAACATGGATTACTATGACACTTGACCTATAATATCAAAAACTTAAAAATGAAAAGAAACCCAGGCATGAAATAGCAAACCTGCTCAAATTTTTCAAGTAGAGCATAACTACAAGGGTCCTGATTTATTCATTTTTCTACATGAAGGAAAACTGCCTTGAGAAAAAATATATGTTCTCATTTTAACACTTCTGAAAATAACACCGTTGTTCTCGATTGGAAGCTAATTTTGAATTGTAATGGCAATTACTAAAGTGAACTAGAAAAAGAAATATGGATAACATCGTTTCCATGGTTACAACCAATTGTGTTGTCTGATTGAGGTTCCCAAATGTAGGTTTTGTAACCAGCTGCACCGGAACCACCTGAAGCACTTGTTAAAAGCACCAATTCCTGAGTTCTATTTATTAAAAAAGAACCCAAAGTACTGTTCAAAAAGCTCCACAGATAATTATTATCTTCACCTAGTTTTTAGCACTATTGAGCACATTCCAATATTTCTTCCCTCCATTTGCTCATCTGTAAAGTACTCAAGGGAATAATTACTAATAAATATTTTACAGTCAATAGAAAGAAATCAAGTGAGATTACATATAAAATTGATGATCATAACTGCAATACTGAACAACAGCCTAGATCCATACATCCATAGCAGGGTCATTGCAGGGGGACAGGATGTAAAAGCTATGCTAATCATGGGATTACTTTGACTGTGAGGTCAAAGTAATGAAAGGGGTCTCCTTTTGGAAAGCATATATGTACCTTGGTTACAGCTAGTGAAAATGTGGGCTGGAAAAAGGAGCCAGCAAGAAACACGCAGAAAGTTTTGAGAGAAAAGAGACACGGGGAAAATGAGCTGATCCCTTCCAACACGGAAATACTAAGGTAATGTTCCTTTTTCTCTGGTAGAAGCCACTGAAATACAGAGTTGGAAATACTGGGGAGCAAGAGTGCAAATTTGTATAATACATCCAAAAGATAGTTGTAAAAACCCTGGAGGACTCAAGATTATCATAAGAGGAATGACGAGAGGGAAGAAAAGGGAGTATTTTCAACAGAAGCTATATGGCAGTCCAAAACATTTAATTGAAGCATTCAAAAGTAGATGTGTCTGTGTTTTACAATTTGAGCTGGGGAGTGGAACACAATGTTTAAATTAGTTCCTTTTCCAATTACATAGATTTCATTATTCTATATTGTCATAGTAACTCTCGCCTATATCAACAATACACACCATGTGATATGGTTTGGATGTGTCCCCACCCAAATCTCATCTTGAATTCCCACATGTTGTGGGAGGGACCCGGTGGGAGGTGATCAAATTATGGGGGTGGGTCTTTCCTGCACTGTTTTCGTGATAGTGAATAACTCTCATGAGATCTGATGGCTTTATAAGACAGAGTTTCCCTGAACAAGTTTTTTTTTTTTTTTTTTTTTTGCCTTCTGCCATCCATGTAAGATGTGACTTACTCCTCTTTGCCTTCCACCATGATTGTGAGGCCTCCTCAGCCATGTGGAACTGTAAGTCCAATTAAATCTTTCTTTTGTAAATTGCCTGGTCTCGGGTATGTCTTTATCAGCAGCATAAAAACGAACTAATACACCTTGTCAGCAAAAGTGCCAGCCAGCCCTTCTGTTGGTCTGGTCGATTATTTGTCATGTCACTCTGAGCCTTTCTGTACATGAAGGTCCCTTTGACGTCAGCAACAAATTGAGGCTTATAATTAATAGGATCCCAGATCAGGAGGCTCAGGAAAACTTTAGGGGATGGGACACAACATTATTGCTCATCTAGAAATTTCCTTAAGGCTAGATATCAAAGGAAATGGTGTGTCTTCTTCTTATGTCACACCAGAAAGTACAGAGAATATACCTTTAGGGAAAGTCATAGGTGACAGTGGAACAAAAGAATGGCTTCTCTCTGCTCTTTTTGTACAACATGATTTCTTGCAAACAGAAGAAAAATACTGGCCCATGAATTTGTAGCTTGTAAAAGTTTCTATAAAGTGATGAACTCTGAAAAGTATAAGATTTTTGCTTGCTTTATAAATCTGCAATACCATCTTAGTATCTGTATTTTTTTCTCCTATCACTGGCTAATACGCTGCCATTTGATACTTAAGCTGGAGATGCACTCCTTGTAACCATCTACTTTTCATAAGAAATCATTAGAGATGTAATGTAAAAATCTACCTTGATTACAAACATGCACATTTTCCATGCTGCTAATATAAAATAAATGTCATACATCTGACCAGCTTTTCTTGCCAAAAGAGTTGATATTAAGGAGTCATTAAGAAAACCTAAATCATGAACCATTATTCATTCAACAGTCAAAAAAAAAAAGCGTCTGTGTCTTAGATGCTATTAACGCATGCTGAATGCCAGTTATAATGATCCCATTAAATCAGATGTGATGAATAGTTCATGATGTCTGACTTTACGTTATTTCTGGAACTTCCGTTTATATTCTTTCTGGAAATAATGGTCCAAGGCCTTATCTGCCTGGGGGCTTTACTGCTTTTTTTTTTTTTTTTTTTTTTTTTTGATTCTAGCTCCAGGGAGCTATATTTTTCTATCCAGACACTGAAGACAGAAAGGTCATCTCAAAAAACAGTGTTAAGAGGCCACTGTTTTTTGCCTTCTTAAACCAGAGGTGGAAAATGAACAAGAGATCTTTCTGAGCGCAAAAAGATATAACCTAAAAGCCTTTCAGCACCCGTCCCATATTTCATTCATTATGTTCATTGTTCTGGCGGCAAACATTTCCTGTTCTACTCTCATTGTAATCCTTCCATCTCCAGTAGTTTGTCTGGGGGATGTAGTTACTGTGCAGTATCAAAAGCAGTCAATTAAGATGATTTTTAAGAGCTATCTCGTGAAGCAGGAACTCTTTGTTTAGTGCTGTCAACCCAATAACAAATGAAGATTAAATAGTGGTTCATCTGGGCAGGATGGCGTGAGGCATGGAATTCTTTATTTAACAAGTAGGCTTTCCACAGTACCTACCTTGTCAGGGATTGCTGCTGAGTCTACCAGAACTCAGGAGGCCCAGATAAACAGAAACTATGTTTGAGGACAAGAGGAGAAGAACTAAGGAATTTTATGCATGCTAACAGAGATCGAGAAAGTATTTCTCATTAGTTTGGCATGCATATAGAGAGACTTCTAAGAAAATGAATGATGCCAAAGAGGTTATAGTGATTAGAATGAAACTGGAGCCCTAACCAGAAGGAAGCAAAGACACTAGCATGAATTTCCAAGGAACTATATATATAAGAAATATGCCAGCATTCTTTTGATAGGTAACAAATTATTGGGAAATGAAAAGACTCCAAGAGAAAAAAAAAAGGGGAGGGTAGGGGGAAGAAGAGAAACACTACAAGGAGAGACAAAATAGGCAATGAAAATATTTGGGAGGGGATTTAATCAGTAACCAAAAGTCAAAATGTAAAACTTGCCCCATCTCTTTTTTGATACCTGGTGCACACACAGAAAAATGTTACCTGTGTTATCCTAAATGTAAACTAGGCCTAAAGTATTAGTGCAATAATCCCCTCTTATCTACAGGGATCCAAGATCCCCAGTGGATCCCTGAAACCTCAGATAGCACCAAACGCTATATATGCTATGTTTTTTCTATCTGATGATGGAGATGACAACTAAGTGACTAACGCGGGCAGGTCATACATACAGTGTGAGCAGGCTGGACAAAGGAATGATTCACTTCCCGCGCAAGATTGCATGAGATTTCATCTCGCTACTCAGAAGGTCATGCAATTTAAAAGTTTTGACATTCACAGTGACACCTGGAAAAAGAACCATGGGTCACTTTGCAAATATATGACAGTGGTAAGAGGTCCTAAATAGGTGAAAAGGATCAGACAGACCTAGAATAAGTCAAGATTCAGGGTTTGGATCTCCATTGCCATGAAACAGATAGGCATCTTCCTAGCTGTTGTCCGGTTTCAGTTATTCATGAAACGCCTTCTCTCCTCCTTCTTTCCTAAAATGTATCATTTAAAATGCTGCTCTGTGTAGTAAGAAGATAAGAGTTTGATGAGATAAAGTTGCAACAGCTAAAAAAGAAGTTTAGTTAATGGGAGCAGTTAACAGACTGTGCAAATTGTCTGTTAAGTGGCACTTTATGGTTCAGCAGAATCCATGAGAGTTCTATCTGGAATTTCTATCAGGCCCCATTCAGCAGGAGCTGGTTCCCTGGAACCCAGCATTAAAAAACAACAACAAAAAAAAATTGGTGTCTTGTCTATCTTCCTGGATAAACAATGACAGCTTCAACCCATTTGAGCTACCTTCCTGAACAATGCCATCAATTATCCCCAAGTGTGGATTAAAGGATATAGTTCTAGGGAGATAGGAAATAAACCCTCTAAAATGTTGTCTAAAACAAACAAACAAGCTTATAAATTGTTTATTTCTGGAATTTTCTTTTTAACATTTTAGACCAGGAATGAGCATGGGTAACTGAAACTGTGGAAAAAGAAACCTCAGATAAGAGTGAACTACTATAAGCAACAGTAATATTTATTGATGCAAAAGTAATCATTAATAAATAGATTTTGTACATAATGTGTTAATGAATGCATAGGAGAAGTTGATTGAATCAGGCTTTCTTATACCGTGAGAAAATCATAGACTCTTTGTGCTCAAAGAAACTTCGAAGTAACCTTGTCCAGCTACCACCTATGCATATGCTTGAATCAAGTTCCATGGGTCACAATTATCAACTGCTGACAAGATACCTAGATAAGAAAGTTACAGAGAATTCCTGTAACAATATTACCCAAAATAATAATTAGAGATTTGATGTATGTTAGTTACATTAAGGTCCTTTTGATGAACAATCCCTACCCAATCCTTATTGGAGAAATATAATTACAAACAAAATCTCCCAACCCAGAAATCCTCTCCACAAAGGCAGCAGAGAGAAAAAACACTTTTGTTATTGAATGAGCATTAAGCCAGAATGCGATATATGCATCACAGGCAATCCACTACATGATTACAAAGAAGAAAGAAATTCACCTTTTTATATAGTCAAGTACATACAACCCATTACATACAAGTGTTCAAGATAAATAATAACTGGTGCTCAAGTAAGAAGGCCTGACAGTGCCATTTGTGACACATAGTTTATGCTAACTTTACCTGGTAGTTGGGGTGACCATCTATGTTAGCTAATTGACTTTATCCAGAGGAAAAACAAACTTCTCATATCTTTATGACCTGGGTAGTTTTGCAACTTAGAGCAATGCACTCACAGAAGTTGGGATCCTATCCTCCCCCAGAAACTGAGACAGGAGTTACATTTCAAAGAGCTGGTTCCCAGGTCTACTGGGTCACAAAGCTGACAAAAGCCATCTTCAAAATGTTTTATATACATTTTCAAAGAGAGAGGAAAGTACTTACAACGTTTCTAAAGTAAATGCTCTGAGAAAAAGGAGGGGGTGGAAATCTTATTAAGCCTATTATTTGTAAATTTGTATTTGTCCCTCCACCCTCCAGGTGTCCTTCCACCCTCCTGCTTAACTTTCCTCAGATTACCTCCAAATCAGCCCAACTCTTCACCTGCTGATCTTCCAACCCTTCTTTCTAGAGTGTCTGGTGTTATCTGAAGTATGAGGCGGAGGATCTGTTAGGCTCTGAAATTGGAACCAAAATGTGTTTTGGAATATGCCTTTTAAAAATGGGTAAAGGATTCATTGCCTTCAGGATTTTCTCATTTTGCATTGCCAAGAAATCCCTCTACAGGTGTAACCATCTGCTAAAATTCTCTGTCCACTTCTTGACATATTTCTGATAATATCGCCTTCCTCACATCCTTCTAAAAGGATTCTCATTTTCTCCACACCCCATTTATCAGATCCAGCATTCTCCTGGATCCCCGTTGCCAATTTCCAGCCCATTCTTCTGAAAGCTTCCTTTAATAACTCATCCTCCTCTGGTCATCTATCCCACATTTTTCAACCATTTTGTTCACCATCCACTGACACCCAGTCATTTTTGCCACAATGGGAGGTAACAAAAATGGCTATGCTTATAAACTATTCACCACATATCATATATTCTGTATATCATAAATTCTTAAATTCTTTAGCAATTCTTTTCACTTATCTAACTTCTCAGGTGGCCACATTCTGCATCTTAATTTCTACCGCTAGAAAATTTACCAGTTATATTTCACTCTTCTTATCACAGTCCTTTACCCTACAACCTCTATTCTTTTGCGCTCTTGATTTCATCCTCCAGAATGATCTCCCAAATACAGATCAAACTTTATGCTTTAGTGTATGTACTCTGCTGGTGCTGCTGCAAAACTTTCCTTTAATCTTACTTCTGTCTATTCTTCTACTTAAGACAACTTTACTGAATCTCCATTTTCTGCAAGATAAATTTCAAGTTAGTTAACATAACCTTTTTGCATGTTAGCTTTGACTACCTCTTCCAACTTCATTTCCAGCCACTTCACCTACACTCTATTTATATCAGCATGCTTGTTCAAATATACCAATCACTTTAATTCCCCCATGCCATTATTTATGATTTTCTTCATGAATAGAAAATTCTTTTTCTCTTTTAAATCTCTTTTACATGATTTTTCCCCATTTTCTTTCAGTTCCCTGGTCAGGCCATTGGCCTGATCAGATCAGTTGATATTTCATGTGAACCTGAATCATGATATCTTCCATCTGTTCTCTTCTTCTCTATTCTCTTCCCATTCCAAAGCAATCATCCAAACACCCCAATTGGAATACATCAAACATTGCTTAACATTTATTGTCTTCATTTTATGAATAATATTAGTCTCTACAATCTAATGCCAACCAATTTTTCCAGCAATATTCATTTTACTTATATAAACATTTTTCAAATTAGTTTATGCATTGTTCTAGAGATATATCTCTCCCACCTCTAATTTGCTAATAATTTCTTATTCTATGTATTTCTAAAGCCAAAAGGTATTCTCCTTTAAACTTTTCTTGACCACTGTCATATAATGTGACTTATCCCTTCTGTAACTTATAATTTGATGTCTTACACCTCATACTTTGTTCTAGTGCTGTTTTGTACATCTAAGTACCATTTCATGATGAATAAATAATGTCTGAATTTCATTAAAAATGTAGTTTATTAAAAGTGTTTATATTCATCATTATGTTTCTGTTTATTCTATTGTTTTACATTGCTAACTAAGAGAAGTAAAGGTGTGCATGGATTATTGAGGGAGGTCATTTTGGAACAACCTTCCAGTGAGTAAGTATCAGAGCTGCAGTCAGACTATAAGAAGAAAAACTTCTAAGGAAAAGTATAGAGAAAAATGACAGTCTTAATTGGCCATCTGCAAATAACACGTTACGTTTTACAATGTAAAACTAATTTTCACCAGAATATACCAGTTTTAATTTATAGGTAACTTAATACTACTTTACTTATGAGATATTCATTAAGTAAATATGGCCTCTTGGATTTTAATCGTTGCTTTAGAAAGTCATGAAACTCAATGGTTGATATCACTATATAGTTATGCTATTTATCCTCACCTGGTCTTCTGCTTTTTCTCAAAAATTTATATGTTCAACCCGTTACTCCATAAAATTTCTACATCTTCCACTCATAACCAAAGCGCCCCAGTTTCTTGTGTTATACCCCAATGACTTCATCGCTATGATTTCCTTTCAGTCTCAAAGGAAGAATAGTTCTTTTCTTTTCCTAAGCTAAGCAAATTTGTTCTTTGGTTGCATTTCTTATTAGTCTCCTCACAAACCCTGGGTCTCTTCACAAACCCTGGCTCATCAGCAGACAAAACTTACTTTCACTTGGTGTCATGTTCTCCCTTTTTAGTGTTAACACAAACATGCAAACCAACAAAATCCTTAGAGTATTATTCTCTCAATTTCTGTTTCTCTAACAAAAGCTTCAGAAAGCCTATATTACACCTTATGCTTGAAACAAGGTGTGTGTCTTGGTGTTGTCACTGACTGGCTGTGTAACAGGTCATGTGACCCACCTGAGCTTCAGTTTGCTTATTTAACATAAAATTAGTCTTATCACCCAAAATGTTGTAAACTAAAATAACAAGCAACAACAACAAACAAGGAATGTCCTATTCAATATTTATCTCTTTGCAAATGAATCTAGAATATTTCTGAGCAAAATCTCTTTAAGTCAAGTCTTGCAAGTTCAACACTGTGCTTGTCTTTGCTGCAGGATCGCTTTTTCCCCGCTATTTTATTCAAAGGTGCACTATTCTTACAGCCATTTTAGAATCATGTTTCTTCCCTACGTTCTATTATGCAACGAGTCACTAGGTCTAAGTGATTCTCCCTTTCTCTTTTCTGATACTATTTGACTTTTGACTAAATAATAGTTTCTAAACATTTTTTTCACTCCTGTATTCAGCACCTTTTCCAATCTATTGTTGTTAGCCATGTTTTATAAACAACATAAATTTTCTCCATTAAAATCCTTCAATTGCTTCCCAGTGCCAACCAAATAAAACTAATATCTATCATTCTTTCAATTTGCTCTGATATTCAGGTTCATATTTTGCTTTAATACTTTACTTGAGTCAAACGGAACTATTTACCCTCCTTTGAATATATCCCTTGCCTTTTAGCCTCTGGGCCTTTGCTCTTACCCTTATTTTTCTCTGTAATCTCATCTCATTCATCTTACCTGTGGAAATTCAGCTGCATTCTGATTGTAACATTCTCTTTTGTCAGAAATTATCTTATTCTTTTCTGAACACAATTATACTGTGTTCTATTCCTTTCATAGCTGACATCCTCAGACAGTACCACCGAATTAAACATTAAATATTCCATAATCCCAATAACCACTCCACATACACATAAATGTATTAGAAGAAAGATTATTAATGGTTCTATGTACTTAGTATCTTTCAGAGTAGACAGTGTTTTCCAATAGGTAAATTTCAAAAATAAGCATAACACCTACTGCTTAATGGAAGTAGAGATATAGATTAGAGATAGGCATAGAAATATAGGCATTAGAGGTAGAGATAGACATAAATTTGCCAGGTAACTAATATTAATCTCTATAAACACATTCTTTTTTTTTTTTTTTTTTTTGAGATGGAGTCTCCCTCTGTTGCCCAGGCTGGAGTGCAATGGCATGGTCTCGGCTCACTGTAACCTCCGCCTCCCAGGTTCAAGCGATTCTCCTGCCTCAGCCTCCCAAGTAGCTGGGATTACAGGCACCCGCCACCACGCCTGGCAAATTTTTGTATTTTTAGTAGAGATGGAGTTTCACCATGTTGTCCAGGCTGGTCTTGAACTGCTGACCTCACGATCTGCCTGCCTCAGCCTCCCAAACTGCTGGGATTACAGGCATGAGCCACTGTGCCTGGCCTATAAACACATTCTTTTAAATAAATATAAGGCCTTATAGTGATCTGCCTCTGAGAGCCCAGATTTCAGATGGTCTCCTGGACAGGGTATTCATTATAAGTTATTTAAGTGGAAAGTTATTTTACAGATATTTTATTCAATCCATTTATTTTACAGATTAAAAAACAGATGCCCAGAAGTATTGAGGGACATTTTGTCTGCTTCTCTATGCTTCTGCTCAGTTAAGCATTTCCATTTGTATTGTGCCTAGGATAGGCACAATTTTTAGGATATGACCTGTTAATTAGGTATTTAGGACTTCTTTCTCAAATTAGAATGTTCTCTAATCTGGCAGAGGGACAGAAAATTGCTTCCTCTTTACTTTTCAGCTACCACTAAACAAACTATTTTTCTGATTTTCTCTCTGCTTTTTTCATGGCCAATCAGGAAACTTTTGGTGTAATTAGGTAAAGAGAATAAGTCACAAAGTTCTCCCTTCCCTTCAGCTATCAGTAAGTTAGTTTGGGAATGTTTAAGCTATTTTTCTTGAAATAATTCCAATCTACACATTATTTTTTAACTGATAACAAATGATACGATTCCTTATAAGTGGCTATTCCTCTAATTGAAAGGAATAATATGCAACCAAGCTAGGATTTTTGTAGGGTAGATCTAGAAGGAAATGTATTCATGTGGCACAGAGAGTCCTGTCTTCTAGGTGGTGGCAGTCCCGACGTAAGCATTGCCTAAATTTTTAGGAGGGAAAGATTTTCAAGATGAGCTAAAGTCTTTGAGGAGAATTCCCACTACCGTTTGAATATGTATCCACTACCAAAGGTCATGTTGAAATTTAATTGCCATTGTAACAATATTAAAAGAGTGGACTTTTAAAAGGTGATTAAGTCATGAGGGCTCCACCTTCATGGGTGGAATTAAAGCTGTTATGAAAAGGCAAGTTCTGCCCCCTCTTGCCCTCTCCCTTTTTGCTCTTCAGCCTTCCATATGTGATGACAAGACAAGAAGGCCCTTGCCAGAGGCCAGCACCTTGATAATGGACTTCCTAGCCCCTAAAACTATGAGCCAATAACTTTCTGCTTATTATAAATTACTCAGTCTGTGGTATTCTGTTATAGAAGTACAAAATAGACTAAGAGAAGCCCCCTCATTGAAAGGAACTGGAAGGAACTAGGAGAAAGTCAGGACTCAAGTGCAGCAGAGCACAGTGGGGAGGGTGGTGCTCCACAGAAATCCGGCTTCAGCTAGTCAAGAAAAAACAAAATCTGTGTTATAAGAACCTGAAAGAAAGAAAATAAATAACAGCTAGTAAAGTCAGTTGACCAGAATCTGCAGAATAGATGATAATAGAAACTAGGACATTAGGAATGGAATCAGCCACATTTTTCTAGGTCTATTTGTCAGTGGGTTTGGGACACAAAATGTTTCTCTTTATCTAGCTATCCAGAAACTAATCCAAAAAAGTGGACATCTGAGTTTGGGCTGGAATAGGAAGAGTCCAACAGAAATCACACGCACTCTCTAAACTCCATTAGTAAGTAACGGTAAACTCCATTTTTAAGTAACAAATCACAGATAATAACTTGAAAATAATTAATAAATAAGATATTGCCAGACAAGCTCTTAAAATATATCATTAAAACAACCAATTCAATATGTGAGAATCTATGTTTAGACATTTGAAATTCTAAAAGTCAAAATCAAAATGTAAAAATAAGTTATTATAAGTTATTACTTGTAATATTACTGTGTACTCTGTTATATTCTGTATTTAGTCTTGATTATATGTTTTAATAACAATTTTATTGGGTAATATAATTTCTATTTGTAGACTGGTTAGTATAATTTATTAGTTCATAATTATGTGATATATAATTTATATATTTATAATGTATTGGTTAATACATTTTCAATTTGTAAGATATTACTTGTAATATCACTGTATATTCTGTTATGCTGTATATTTAGTCTTGATTGTATGTTTTAATAATATAACTTTATTGGTTAATGTAATTTCAGTTTGTATTTGTAAAGAAAATATTTCTCTAACGTGGTCCAGAAAAAATCCTGTATGAAAAGCTGGCCTGGGGATAGCTAAGAAAATATCTGGGACAACTAATTTATGGTAACAAAAACTAAAGAATTGTAGTAAGAATAGTAGTTTATTATTTAGGAGTTTATTATTTATATCTACTTCTCTACCAGGAATGCTACCTCCCAAATACTACTCACTTAATAAATATTTTTGATTAATTGAATTATAAATTCTGTCTTACTGTATTAGAATATTTGTTTTATTATAGGACTTGTGGATCAGAAAGACATGAGTTTGAATCCCAAATGCACCTCTTAACATCTATGTGTCACTGGAGATATTAGCCCACTTTCCTAATGCTCAAGTTTCTCATCTAAACATGAAAATTACTAAGACCTACTTTATTTAGTTGTTTTGAGGACTTAATAGCATAAAATATGTCATTGTTAACTTATTCTCTGACATGGAATTCCATAACATTATTCTGTTTGAATTGGCAAAGTTAAATGATGAAAACAAAAATCTCTATTTTATCATTACAATCAAGTTTCCCAACACATTTACCTAACACGTATTTGATTGTGACGCTATATGTAATTGCAAAATCCTGAGTTGCTTTTTACTGTTTGGATGGTAATTTTCTCTAAAACCTTTCCTGGGTTTAAAAACAAAAGGGCTTTTCTGACTGGACACCCTCATCAAGGGAAAAGATTGAATGTCTCATCAGGCAGTACGCCCCTGACTGTTTTAAGTACGAGTCCTCCTGCAGAACACTTAGTTTTGCTCACTGAACCACAAAATTAAAGTACCAAGGAAGAAATCCAGAATAGCAACAATGCCAAAATATGTATCACGTAATACCAAATAGCTTCAAAATTTCTGTATTTACAAAAAGGTTTAACAGATGAAATAAACGAAAGTTTTATGGTCTAAGAAAGGAAGCACAATTTCAGTTAACTAGCACTTTTCTACTATTCTAAGCCTTTTAGTAAGTGCAGAGGGAATTTGCACTTACTGAAGTATATCAGTGAAAAGATAATTTGTCTTTGAATAGAGTACTTTTATCCTATTAATTTCTACCATTACAGTGGGAGATAAGATGTAAGCCAATGACTAACTGAAAATTAACGTCCAAAAGAGAGAAAGAAAAAAAAGAATAGCTTATGTCACATTATATAATATGTATGCTAAAATAATTTTATATAACCATTTATTACAATCAGTGTCAATTATATGCACTTAATTGTGCTTGATTTGTCTTTATGGTTATTACAAATCAGTCCCTTTAACAGTAACATTTTATTATTTTTTCATAAAGAACAGAAAACGTGATCTAGAGCAGATATAATAATGATAAAAAAGGTTAAAAGGTTAAAAGGATAAGTAAAGCTAACTTTAAGAACTTGAATTACTTAATGGTAGAATGTACATTATTTGTGTGATGGTTAGGCTAAAAGCCCAAACTTCACCTTTACATGATATACACATATATAAAAACTGCACTTGCACCCCTTAAATGTATACAACTACTAATAAAAAAGCTTTAACTGGATATACTGGATATTTATTTCTTAAAACTATAGCAATTCCTCTTAGATATTCTAGATATGATGCTAAATAATGAAATTGATGTCTTTTGAAAAACAATAATGACTAAGGAGAAAATATCTAGACTACTAATTTGAACAAATGATATTTTGAAATCCAAAGAAATTTTCACTAAAGATAAATAAGTATTGAGAAAATTACTAATTAGGAAAATTGGTAGGTAAACTTTTTAAATTTTATTATAAAATATTCAGATACATAGAAAGCAAAAAATAATGCAAGGTTACACATATGCACTACCCATGTTAAGAATAAAACATGACCAATTCAGTTTAAACCCCCGTATATGTTGCCAAATATATTTTATCCTCTTCTACACACAGGTAACCACTATCATTAATGTAATATTTGTCATTTTCTTGAATTTGTTTATTTTACATAAATATACATACACACAGTTATATTTTCTCTTTTCACTTTATTTGGCTTACTGTGTCTTTTTTCTAACTTTGGGGAAAACTTAGCTCATTAATTTTCAGTTTTTCTTCTTTCCTTATGGAAACGTTTAAAGCAATATATTTTTATCTAGTTATTACATTAGATACTTTTCTAAAGTTTTGTTATCAGTGACAGTTATTCGCTGTCACGGAGTCCCAAATATGTTCCTTTTTCTGTTACATTTTATTTGATATTATTTAGAAGGTATTTATTTTACACTTTCTTCTAAAATAGATTCCTAATTTTATTGCATTGTAGTATAACCCTAAATTATATTAAACCAAATCTTTGACATTTTTGTGACCCTATTTATGGCCTAGCACATGGTCAGCTTTTGTAAATGTTCCATGAATGCATGTGAAAAATGTGGCCAATTATTCCTAACAAAAAGTTTCAATATCTGTAAACAGCTACTTCTGTTTAAGACAGTTTGCAGCACATTGGAATTGTACTTTTGATAATTCTATTGAAGTACACTGGAAAGCACTTATGAGATAAATGTGCAAAGCTATTCATAGCAGTCTGCTTGAAAGAAAATTAATATCACCCAAGAGAAAAGGAGGGAAAAGAAGGGCAAGGGCACAGGCAAACAAAGGAAAGGAAAGCAAAAGGTCTGAGTGTTCACTATACAGTACCTACATCAGTAGTGTGGACTTGGTAGTGGTTTAAGAGGAATTTTCTACCTACTAGTTTATATAGTATTACATTGTTCACTTCCATATTACTTCAACAAAACATATGGAGTAAAGGAAAGGAATTGGGTGGTAGAATTATGAAAGAAAAATTATGCACCATAATTTCCATTCATATTTCTTTTCCTGCAACAATGATGTGTTAGTTTGTTCAACAAAGAATATGAAAAGCCATTTCTGTAATCCAGAATAGAAAACTGAGCTTCTGCATAACACCAATAACATGGGAATGGTCATTTGCAGAGGGATTCTAGAAATAAGCAGGAGATGGAATCAATGTGTCATGGTGGCTGATTATATCTATGGAAACAATAAGTTTACGAAAAAATTAAGAAAGGTGGTCAAGTTATAGAGATGGACAACGAGGTAAATTGTCCTACCATTTTCTCAGCTAAGTAAAACAAGAGGAAGGAAAAATTTTTAGGGGAAGGAAAGTGGTTGTGAATGCTGAGTTTACCCATAGCATTTAGGTGAAAAAGTTTGGCAGACAACTGACTGTGAGTGTCACAATATATGTGCATAAATCTGTGCTTATTTCATAGTTGAAATAATAGAATTAAATGACATTTTTGGTATAAAAATTTATACTTAAAATATGTGAACACTTTCCTCTTCTACTGTCACCAGTTTCAGCTTTGATGTTAGTTATTGTTGAAATCGTTGACATTATCAGCAGTTATGCCAGCTTCAGGGTCTGTGCATCCCAAGATACTGAATTTTCATTAAATCATTAACACTTCCAAATTACATTAGAAATAAGCCAAGGGATGGTTAGCAGGGAAGAAGGCCACACAAAGGGCTTAGTTACTAAATATACCAGATATGTAAGCTGACATGATTTTCTAAACAGCTTTATTGAGGTGCACCTGATATAGAATAAACATCACATATTCCCAAATGGACAACTTGATGAGTTTTGACAAACGTATACACCATGAAATTATTACCACAATTAAGATAAGGAACATATATATTGCCCTCAAAATTTCTTCATGCTCTTTGAAATTCCTATTTCTGATCTTCCCTACACACATGCCCTCTACCCTCTGTCCCTAAGCAATATGTGATATACTTCCTGCCATTATAAAGTTGTTTTTACTTGCCAGAAATTTATAAAAATAGAATCATGCAATATATGCTCATTTCTGTTTGCCTTTAAGCAAAACTTATACTGAGTTTCATCCATATTATTAGGTGCTTCAATAATTTTTTACTGCTGAGTAGTATTTCATTGTATTGATATACCACAATTTGTCTATCCCTTCACCTGAATTTATTTGGGTTATTTCCAGTTGTTGTTAATTACAAACAAAGCTGTTATGAACATTCCTTAAGAAGTCTTTATATAAATATATGCTTTCATTTCTCCTGGGTAAATACTTAGAGGAGTGAAATGGCTGATTCATTTTGTAGAGGTATATTTATCCCTTAAAAAAATACTGTCGAACTCTTTTCATAAAGGTATACCATTTGTATTATGAACATAAGTATATGAGAATTCTAGTTGGTTTACATCCTTGCCAATAGTTAGTATGGTCAGTCTTTTAAAATTTTTAACACTCTAACTGATATTTCACTGTGGGTTTAATTTGTAGTTTCCCAATAAATAATGATGTTCAGTAGTTTTATCATGTGTTTATTTGCCGTCTGCATATCTTCTTTCTGAAGTGTCTGTAAAATATTTTTGCCTATATTTAATTTGGCTGTCTGTTCTTCATATATTCTATATGCAAGTCTTTTTATCAAATATGTAACTTGCAAATGTGGCCTGACTTTTCATCCTCTTAGTAGTGTCTTGAAGTACAGAGGTTCTTACTTTTTCTGGAACCAATTTCAATATTTTATTTTATGCATCATGCTTTCAATGTTGTTTCTAAGAAATCTTTGCTTAACCAAAGGACACAGATTCTCTCCTATGTTTTAGTCTAGAAATGTTTGTTTTAGGTGACACATTTAGGTCTATGGTCCAGTTTTTGGTAAATTACTGGATGCAGCACAAGATACTGATGCAAGTTCATTGTTTTACATGGGAATATTTAGTTGTTTCAGCACATGAGTAGAAAATACTAACCTTTCTCCATGAATTGCATTATATGGTCTTTATTTTTACTTTAAAAGGGCAACTATGCATGATGATATATGATACTATCTATTATAAAACTTTTCAAGTGGTAAAAATGACCTATAAGGGCATGAATTGCCTTAAAACAGGGAACAAATGAAAAAGAATGACCTGAAGTCCTCAAATGGATTAATATTGAGCCACAGTTGAGAATCTCCTACCTGTTAATCCTTACAGTCAGACAAATATTCTTTATCTGCAATGTAATAAATTAACTTTCTGGAGGCAGGAAACTAATTAGATAATCCCATCTTATCCCAGAGGTTCTGTGATTCTAGAAAGATCTGGGAGTGAATGCCCCTTTTCAACCGCAGTTAGCATTTATCAGTAGAATTTAGGATACTATGTTTTGTCACACTCAACTTGAGGAATCATTACATCTTCAAAATTTAATTTATTAAGATTGATAGTTGAGAAAAAGATTATTATTTGCATTTTGGCATCTATATATTGCAAATCAAATGTGATATGTTGGTAAGAAATAGAGCTCAAATACCAACAGAGGTAAAGATTGTTTTGATACTAATTAGTGTTGCCAGAGTGAAAGCTTACCCACATGTGATTCCTGTTAGGATCGAGGTTTATTAATCACTTTTGTTTAGTGAGACCCTTCTGAGAGATGCTGCCATGAGTTAAACAAATATTATGTAAAATTTTTAAAATAATAATTTCATCCAAAATTGAGCTCAATTCACTTTTCAGGGATATATGAACAATCTAAAGGTGTCATCAGAATTCTCAGGATTAAGTAGAAGCAATTCTACTATTTTCTGTGTTAGTTATCGAAAAAAATCCCCTCTGTGATTCTCCAGGGATTTGCTACCATCTTTATTGTCTGAAAAAGAATTTGATACGTCATATTCTCTATTCTGTTCATATTTTAATATCTGAAGCCTATGCTCATGATCCAGACATTTACAGTAATTACACTCTAGCCATCTACTTCTAAAATGCAAATATCCGTAAGTAGATAAAATTAAGCTCTACATACATCTTAAAGAATGGGTTCTTAAACTCAAATTTACAGCCCCTCTTTCCCAGAAGCCCCTAAAAACATACCCTTGAAAAATACCAAATGTTGTATTCAGGACAGTGTCTAGGCCATAATCAGATATTTAGAAAGTCCCTAAGTGAAGAGGCATTAAGAAACAACATGAGGTATAGTTCTATTAGATGACATCCTGGTGGCTTTATTCATTTAGTGCTATACTAAGGATTTCTCATGTTTTTACATTGTGTTCATAATATGAATTACAACATACTACTGTATAGTGTTGTTTTCTCATTATGTACCTATCATCTTTATTTTCATTTAGTAGCATTTGTTATTTTCCTATTGCAAATAATCTTTATCATGTGTATTTCATGTCTATATTTTGGTGCAATTTCCAAAAGTTGGCTAACTCTAAATAAACATTTTCTATAGCTCAGGTATAATTAAGCTGCTTTAAGTAAAATCTTTATTCTAATAAAAAGAGTCTTACAGAATGCATAAGTCTTTCCAGAATTCATTTTGATGAAACAGCTTTGCTGATGACCTATCTCGACATTACTGGGGGCTGTCAGCCTGAACTCCAGGCACACTGCCAAGTGAGGACCTTACCTGACTTTAGAAGGCCAGCTTGGCCAGTTTAGCTCTATTTCAGGAGAAGTAGACATTAAGGCCTACAGTCAATGGAACAAAGTGCTGCTATAGCATTGTCAAGTCCAGAGTGCTCTTAGGGAAGGATGGAGGCGGTTGCCTAGCAAGAGGATACTGCTTTCACTGTCCGGGTTGTGACGGGGGAAAAAAAGTTTTTGGTATAGGACTTAGGTCTCTGTTAAAAGTCAGTATCAAGCTCTGACGTGGATGCATTTTAAAAAGGCTTTGAATAATCCTATAGATATGAAAACATACACCAGTTCATGCATCAAGATCCTGTGACCAAATCAGATCCGGTGCATGTGAAAATAACAAGGTAACACATAACATGTGCTGAGTACCATGCAATATGTCTGAGCTACACATATGAACAAAGCATGGCTTCTGTGTGTTAGAAGGACATCATTTAGCGGGAGAGAAAAGACACAAAAATAACACTGTAGGAAGACTACTATAATTTTAAGTACTCTGTGTGAAGAACTTAAAAAACAACTACAAAAAGTACAAATGAAAATGATTTTTAAATAGTATAAAATTGTTCTATTGTATTGCAATAGAATTTGAATTATTTGGTTGCTGAATAGCAGCAATAATCTGACTTTCTCCGTAAACGAGACTTTAGTTCAAAGCCATCATCGAACATCTCCAGGACATGGGCTTTCCTTTTTTTTTTAATTTTTATTTTAAGTTCAGGGTTAAGTGTGAGGTTTGTTACATAGGTAAACTTGTGCGATGGGGGTCTGTTGCACAGATTATTTCATCACCCAGGTATTAAGCCTAGTACCCATTAGTTATTTTTCAGATCCTCTCCCTCCTTCTGCCCTCCACCCTCTGATAGGCCCTAGTGTGTGTTGTTCCCCTCTATGTGTCCATGTGTTCTCATTATTTAGCTCCCACTTATAAGTGAGAACATGTGGTACATAAACCAATAGAACAGAATAGAGAACCCAGAAATAAGACCGCACACCTACAACTACGTAATCTTTGACAAACCTGACAAAAACAAGCAATGGGGAAAGGATTCCCTATTCAACAAATGGTGCAGGGATAACTGGGTAGCCATACGTAGAAAATTAAAACCGGACCCCTTCCTTACACCATGACATGGAATTTCCTAGCAACAGCCTTCAGCCATTCAAATAAATATCATATCAACAGTGAGGCATACTTGTGAGTGGGTCCTTCTCATGAGAAATCTGGGGATCCCTGTTAGACTAAATATGCTAAAATGCCTATTCCTACTAGACCTTGTACCTCATAAAAGCACAATCTATGATTTATTTATCTTTATATACTATGTCACCTAGCAAAAGCACTGACAGTGTTAGTGTTCAGTAAACAGTCTCTGAATAGATGAATGAATGAATGAATGAATGAATGAATGAATGAATGTATGCATGGATTTCTTCCACATAGTATGAGGTTGCAGTGAACTGCCAAATGTTTAACTAAATTGGGTATTAAGGAATTTCTCTCTGTGTGTGTATGTGTTCCTGCATGTGTGTGTGTGTAGCTAACTAGAAAGACATGAGGACATTTCATTATGTCAAACTGTTAATGAGAATTGTATTTAATTAAAGAGTCCATGCAGGATCTTACAAGTCTGCTTTACTATAAATTATCCTGTTATATTAAAAACCTGTGTATAAGTAAAATAGTTTATCAAATGATAGTTACTTTTACTTAATTGGAATGTTATCAGTGGAGATAGTCTTATGACTCAACTCATGTCATGTACACCCATATACATCTACACACATTAGCAAATCTATGAAAATAAGTTGACTTGGCTGTTACTTTTTTAATATAAAAAAAGTTCCAATCTTAGGATGAAAGCTGAATGGAGATTTAGGCAGCTGTCTCACAATGAGGTTATATCAAAATTGGCTACAATAAAGATTCAAATAGGAAAATATTGACAGTGTACTAACTGAAATAAGTATTCTATTAGGTAACTTTCTCTTTGGATAATGTTATAATTTTTAAACCAGTATAGCACACTGAATTTTAGTGAAAATAAACAAATATTTAGAAATTACATTTTGTTAGGGAATTTGAATATACAGTCATATGTCACTTAACAGGAATACTGTCTGAGGAATATCCTTAGGTGATCTTGTCACTGTGAGGACAATATAGCATCAGAGTGCACTGACACAAAGCTAGAAGGTGTAGCCTACTACACACCCAGGCTAGATGGTATAGCCTATTGCTCCTAGGCTACAAACATGAACAGCATGTCATTGTAATAAATACAACAGGCAATTGTAGCACAATGGTAAGTATTTGTGTATCTAAACATACGAAAGGTATAGTAAAAATAATGTTATAATTATCTCATGTAACCATTTAACATTGTTATTCTTCCTATCCATGAGCATGGAATGTTCTTCCATTTGTTTGTGTCCTCTTTTACTTCGTTGAGCAGTGGTTTGTAGTTCTCCTTGAAGAGGTCCTTCACATCCCTTGTAAGTTGGATTCCTAGGTATTTTATTCTCTTTGAAGCAATTGTGAATGGGACTTCACTCATGATTTGGCTCTCTGTTTGTCTGTTATTGATGTATAAGAATGCTTGTGGTTTTTGCACATTGATTTTGTATCCTGAGACTTTGCTGAAGTTGCTTATCAGCTTAAGGAGATTTTGGGCTGAGACAATGGGGTTTTCTAGATATACAATCATGTCATCTGCAAACAGGAACAATTTGACTTCCTCTTTTCCTAATTGAATACCCTTTATTTCTTTCTCCTGCCTGATTGCCCTGGCCAGAACTTCCAACACTATGTTGAATAGGAGTGGTGAGAGAGGGCATCCCTGTCTTGTGCCAGTTTTCAAAGGGAATGCTTCCAGTTTTTGCCCATTCAGTATGATATTGGCTGTGGGTTTGTCATAAACAGCTCTTATTATTTTCAGATACATCCCATCAATACCTAATTTATTGAGAGTTTTTAGCATGAAGGGTTGTTGAATTTTGTCAAAGGCCTTTTCTGCATCTATTGAGATAATCATGTGGTTTTTGTCTTTGGTTCTGTTTATGTGATGACTCACATTTATTGATTTGCATATGTTGAACCAAACTTGCATCCCAGAGATGAAACCCACTTGATCATGGTGGATAAGCTTTTTGATGTGCTGCTGGATTCAGTTTGCCAGTATTTTACTGAGGATTTTTGCGTCAATGTTCATCAGGGATATTGGTCTAAAATTCTCTTTTTTTGTTGTGTCTCTGTCAGGCTTTTGTGTCAGGATGATGCTGGCCTCATAAAATGAGTTAGGGAGGATTCCCTCTTTTTCTATTGATTGGAATAGTTTCAGAAGGGATGGTATCATCTCCTCTTTGTACCTCTGGTAGAATTCAGCTGTGAATCTGTCTGGTCCCGGAATTTTTTTGGTTGGCAAGCTATTAATTATTGCTTCAATTTCAGAGCCTGTTATTGGTCTATTCAGAGATTCAACTTCTTCCTGGTTTAGTCTTGGGAGGGTGTATGTGTCAAGGAATTTATCCATTTCTTCTAGATTTTCTAGTTTATTTGCGTAGAAGTGTTTACAGTATTCTCTGATGGTAGCTTGTATTTCTGTGGGATCAGTGGTGATATCCTCTTTATCTTTTTTTATTGCATCTATTTGATTCTTCTCTCTTTTCTTCTTTATTAGTCTTGTTAGTGGAAGAACATTCCAAGCTCATGGATAGGAAGAATCAATATCATGAAAATGGCCATACTGCCCAAGGTAATTTATAGATTCAATGCCATCCCCATCAAGCTACCAATGACTTTCTTCACAGAATTGGAAAAAACTACTTTAAAGTTCAGATGGAACCAAAAAAGAGCCCACATTGCCAAGTCAATCCTAAGCCAAAAGAACAAAGCTGGAGGCATCACGCTACCTGACTTCAAACTATACTACAAGGCTACAGTAACCAAAACAGCATGGTACTGGTACCAAAACAGAGATATAGACAAATGGAACAGAACAGAGCCCTCAGAAATAATACCACACATCTACAACCATCTGATCTTTGACAAACCTGACAAAAACAAGAAATGGGGAAAGGATTCCCTATTTAACAAATGGTGCTGGGAAAACTGGCTAGCCATATGTAAAAAGCTGAAACTGGATCCCTTCCTGACACCTCATACAAAAATTAATTCGAGATGGATTAAAGACTTAAATTTTAGACCTAAAACCATAAAAACCCTAGAAGAAAACCTAGGCAATACCATTCAGGACATAGGCATGGGCAGGGACTTCATGTCTAAAACACCAAAAGGAATGGCAACAAAAGCCAAAATTGACAAATGGGATCTAATTAAACTAAAGAGCTTCTGCACAGCAAAAGAAACTACCATCAGAGTGAACAGGCAACCTACAGAAATGGGAGAAAATTTTTGCAATCTACTCATCTGACAAAGGGAGGATGTACAAAGATTCTGTACATCCAGAATCTACAAAGAACTCAAACAAATTTACAAGAAAAAAGCAAACAACCCCATCAACAAGTGGGTGAAGGATATGAACAGACACTTCTCAAAAGAAGACATTTATGCAGCCAAAAGACACATGAAAAAATGCTCATCATCACTGGCCATCAGAGAAATGCAAATCAAAACCACAATGAGATATCATCTCACACCAGTTAGAATGGCGATCATTAAAAAGTCAGGAAACAACAGGTGCTGGAGAGGATGTAGAGAAATAGGAACACTTTTACACTGTTGGTGGGACCGTAAACTAGTTCAACCATGTGGAAGACAGTGTGGCGATTCCTCAGGGATCTAGAACTAGCAATACCATTTCACCCAGCCATTCCATTACTGGGTATATACCCAAAGGATTATAAATCATGCTGCTATAAAGACATGCACACGTATGTCTATTGCAGCACTACTCACAATAGCAAAGACTTGGAACCAATACAAATGTCCAACAATGATAGACTGGCTTAAGAAAATGTGGCACATATACACCATGGAATACTATGCAGCCATAAAAAAGGATGAGTTCATGTCCTTTGTAGGGACATGGATGAAGCTGGAAACCATCATTCTCAGCAAACTATCACAAGGACAAAAAACCAAACACCGCATGTTCTCACTCATAGGTGGGAATTGAACAATGAGAACACTTGGACACAGGAAGGGGAACATCACACACCTGGGCCTATTGTGGGGTGGGGGGAGGGGGGAGGGATAGCATTGGGAGATATACCTAATGTAAATGATGAGTTAATGGGTGCAGCACACCAACATGGCACATGTATACATATGTAACAAACCTGCACATTGTGCACATGTACCCTAGAACTTAAAGTATAATAAATATATATATATATATATATATATATAAAAATTGTTATGTGATGCATGGCTGTATTTTTAAGCAGTGTGTTTAAATTTATATACACTGTTTTAAGCAAAAGTAGTGTTCTTAAGTTGGAAAATCATATGTTAAATATTAGCTTTTAGTACAATTTATTGTAATGGAAATTTTGACAGGTACTTCTGGTACTTAACCAAATAAGTGATAGTTCCTCTAGGCTACTGCTTACCAAAGGGGCATATACATTACAGTAAACAAAATCATGTGGAGTTCAGATGATCATTCTTAGAAACTTGATTGAATATAGTCTTGTCTTATCTTACTTCAATATTCAACTATTCAGTTCCCTAGGAGAATATCATGAAGTTTAGACCTTCTATGTATTTAAAATAATGCTGAGATATGCTAAATTATATTGCATTAATCCTTTAATAACTATTCCTTCAAAAAGGTGGAGGGAAAGTAGTCTGCTGCCTATTTGTATGGCTTAGTTTATATTTTAACAAACTATAGGTTGGTATGGTCCCCTTCATGAATATGCATATGTGGTACAAAGACATGATATTGACATAAATAATGTAATGATTCATTACTTCTTTTGAAAAATCATCATTCGATTTCTGAAATTAAGCCATTACCTGGTTCCTTCTGGCAGCTACTATTCTAGAGTCTTTCTCTCTCTCTCTCTTTATCACGCCACCACCAGGTGGCCTATATTTCTATGTTTCTTTTCTTCTTTGGGAAGAGGGGAGAAGGATTCTGAGGTTGGGTGCTATGTTACTCTCAGAAACCCTGAATGGTTACCCGCCTATTGGGACTCTACCTGCTTACCTTGTAGAAACTGGTCAATTCTTAAAGGTGAGTGATTTGTTGACCTGTTTGCTTAATTTCCCACATTTCCTTTGTAGTTTTCAGGCATCTGGTGTTTCTCAACTAAAATTAAATATTGTAAAATGTGGCACACAATTGTTAAAATACAAAATAATTTTCTTTCTTTTCTTCAAATATGATGTGAAAGTGGAGTCCTAGACCCTAGGATACCAAATCATTTTCAGTAAATGCTTCACTGTAGTGTATATTAACAGTTGGATATCGCATCCCATTCTGCCAACTTCTAGATGCTGAGGTAGGAAAAGAAGAGGTGCTGAGATTGTAGTGGAACACTCATCAGTGGGGTCAGGGCTCCTGCTGAGATGGCCACTGGGTCTCATGCTCTTGGGTACAGCTGGTGGCAAGTTCCTGTAATCAGAAGCCATCACTAGCAGAAAGACTCTACAGTCATTTTAATCAGTCTTTGGCAAAGCTGGCAGTAAATGTACTAAGTGGATACATTTTCCTGAAAATTGCCACTGTAGCTTTAGTGTTCTGCTTGAATTGAGGCAGCATGATATAATGCAGAATCAGAGAGGATAGAATCAAACATTCCACTGGTTCTCAGCCTACATTTATTCTATAAAATTATTCTGTTTCTTGATCCAGGGAACAGCACTGTAAATTATTCACAAGGTAGATATCCAGAAGGCATATACAGCATATCTGAAGTATTATTTAAATGCACCCTAGAATATTTATACAATAGTAAAGAGTTGAGAAATGAGATATTTTCTGTTTCATTTAAGCAAAATATGCAAGGTTAATTCTATTAAAATTTTAGGGCTTTTTTCAGCTATATGTATGTTATTTAAACTATCTAATGATTCTATAAGGCTTTAATAAAAAACAGCAGCCTCCTCTTCCTCGCTCCTCACCCTACTTCATAACAGCAAAGGTTTTCATCTCTTAGCTAGTGAGCTAGGTACAGGATTCAAGTATTTACCCCATAATTCTAAAGCAACATGTTTATTCTGCTACATCAAGATTTGTTTCCATTTCCTATATTTTCTATTGACTTTCTATTATGGAAGATGGAGATGTACTTCTCCTATGTTTCTGTTCTCACTCACTTCTCCTCCATCCATCTTTCAAAGTATAATTTTGATTAAACCAGCATTCAGTGTTTAAATTATTATTACTATTTTAACATAACTCAGAGATGAGCCATGATAAGTATTAGAATTACATTTCCTGTCTTGTCTGATGTTTTGTTCTTCCTGGGGTTCTTAATTACTTCAGTTTCCCCATTGCCTAGTTTTTTCATCTATCATTCATTTTCCTCCTTAAATGCAAATCTTTTTTCAACTCATTAAAAAACGAGTAATCTCTCAGCTTTTTTCAGTATGGAAACTTGTTCCTTGCTCTACTAAAAACTTATAAAATATACAAAAGATAATAGGAATAACTTTGTGAATACCCATGTACCCACCCACTCTTCAGTTTAAGAAATAAAGTATTACATGAAACGTGGAAGTCTTCATGTTCCTTTCTCTAATATACCCCCATCCACCCATATAACCTTTATCCAAAATTTAGTGGTCATTATTCCTATCTATTGTTTCTCACTTGTTCCATGTATAGAAAACACTAAAGCAAAATATATTACAGTTTGGAATATTTTAAAATATTTTAGAAATATTACTACTGTATACTATACAAATTATTTATTCTTCCTATTTTTTCACTTGACATTTCCATGTTTACAGGATTCGTTTATGTTGACACATGTAATTGTAAGTTACTGACTTCCACTGCTTAACCACTATGTTGAAAATGCATGACTAGTGATAGTAAACATGAAGCCATTTCACTTTGTCTTTTAATGTCACTTGAAATCCTCTGTGCGGTTTATTACTTCCAAGACCAGAAAGAGAAAAATTCTTAAAGATCCTATGATTAAATGGGTACTCTGAGAACTTTAAGACACAGAAACAGTCTCACTTCAGTTTAAAAGATATAGTCATGTACGATTACAAATGTCCAAATTTGATTTAAAATCTAGGTTTCTTCTCTCTTTCAGCTTGCCTTTATATAAAAAAGAAGCTTGCAGCCACCTAGAAAAAAGGATCTGGTACTTTTTAAGCTGTTGATTGTCCCTCTCTCTACTCTGTATCTTTCAAACATAAGGGAAAGTCCAAGAGTTTGCAAAGCTGCTCACCCCAACATATTTGAACAATCCAACCACAGCCAGTAACTTCAACTTTTAGACTTTATATGACCACAGTAATTCCTATTTGTTTGAGCTGCCATTAAATGACATTGTTGGTTGTTACTTGCAACCAAGTATACTTCAAATGATGTGATATACTTTTTAATATTATTAGAGCAATTTATCTGCATCTGTTGTTATAATCATATGGGTTTTTTATTTTTTCTATTTTAATCTGTTACCATGGTGAATTACCTTAAAGGTTTTCTATTGAGAAAATATTTTTGCATTTCTGTGATAAATCTAACTTGTGTATGTACATATGTATCTACATACATAGGTATGTGTATGTTCATATCTATCCATATATATATATATTCTGGCCTCTTACATGATTCCTTCTAAAACTCTTCCTTCTAAACTTAGATATGTACTCAATATTCTCATTTCATCTCATCCTTCATAATTTCCACTTTTTTAAAACTCTATGATTTAAATTCTAATAATTGTGCCTGCCAGTTTACAAATTCTCTTCATACACATATTTCATTACTGTTAATCCAGTATATTGAATTTCTAATAAATTTTCAAAATTCACATTGGACTTCTTTAAGCCTACCTTTTTAAATAGTCTTTTAGCCTTTACTTATTAATATACTGTTTCATTTATTTAAATATTTTGAACATATTTATTTTCTATTTAATGACTAAAATTTCAGAATCTGCAGTTGTTGCTGAGATGCTTCTAGACTTTATTTCCTGAATCTTACTCCTGTCATCTTTTTCTTCATGCAATAAGTAATGTTTGATGAATTAAAGTTCCTTAGAATTTTACCATTAGGAATGATTGAATCTTGGCTTAAAGTTAGTTTTCCCAGAGATTTCATCCTAAGGCCCTGAATCTTGAGCTAATCTCAGTTTATTAACGTCTGGCAACATATTAGGGTGTTAGTAGTCTATCATAACACACTTTCAGATTTAAAATTTCAAGGGCAAAATTTCCCATTTCCATACTAGGTTCTTTAAGTTGAAATTTTCCATAAGTTTTGCATTCTTATTTCTCATCTCGTTGTTATTCCTGAAAAACCAAAGTTTCAAAACCCCAGAGTAGAAGGAAATTATTTTTCTAACAGGAGAAAGATGTTTAATCATCTGCGTTTACATTTCAAGCTGTGTATGAAGATAACTGACATGCTTTCTGATAGGATGCATGCATTGCTATCTAACAACTTTATAATTTTCAAATTATCATACCTCATTTACATCTTATAGAATATTTGTCTTAATTTCCCATATTTATCAGTTTTTGAAAGTTTTAACTCAATGTGGAAGAACTAAGATGTAGTTAAAGGTGGTAAAGAAGGGGCTGAACAATCATTGTGTCATATTAAAACTCTAATTAAAAATCAAATGCTGAAAGTGATGACATTAATAGGTACTATTGATGAAAAACAGGTTGGCTAGAGATTAAAATAGTTTGAAAAGCAATATTTCTATCATTTTTTTCTACTTCAATGTAGCTGCAATTTGTAGCATTTTGTTCTGCTCCATGAGTCAAGTATAAAACTTAGCTTTGTTCATTTGAAACCTCTAATGGTGTTTATACAAATATTATTATTGTACTGTATAGACCTTAAATAAAGTTGAAACCCATTGAGTATAACATTCGAAGAAATGGCTTACAAAAACTAAAAACCAGAACAAATCTTGAAACATAGCTGTCCCAGTTGGCAATAAGTTAATTGTGATTTCAGTGGTATTTGTTTCCCTTAATATATTTCAGGGGCAAGTGTCACCAGGAGAGGTATTCAGTGACTAAGAATGTAGAAGACTGCAAAGTCAGGCTGTCTTGGTTCAACCCCTACTGACTGTGTGACCCTCAGTATGTTCCTAAATCCTTCTAAGCTTCATTATCTATTTCTAGTAAATGTGGATAATAATAGTACCTAGGTCAAAGAGTTGTTGTAAAGTTTTTAGGAGGTAATGTTTTGAAACCCACAGCACAGGGTCTAGCACAGAGGAGTGCTCAAACAGACCTTCATCTTCTCAGGATCTAAAAAAGTTAGGTCTTTCAGAGGCCGGTCTGGGAAAATAAACCTAAATTTTGGAATAGAAGCCAGTGCTTTAGACAACTCCATATTTATGTAGCCAATAGTAGTTGGTTTATCTTCCTAACAGCTTTAGCAGAGAGCAAGCAAAGAAAATCAGCTGCAGGCTGTGAAGGTAGAAAAAGTATACCATGCATCCAATCACTTTCTCTGCCATTTTCATCTTTGCACAATATTTTGAGTGATTTAGGGGAGTTAGGGATTTAACACGTTGGTTTTTCATCACACAGACCCGTTTCCTCAGAGGCTAGAATGCATCACTTAGTACCTGGTGACCAAGAGCAATCGTAGCTTTACAGCACAGGGCCTGGAGTTTATTATTGTTATCATTACATTTACTTGAAGAATAAACAACTTAAGAATTTATGCATTTTATCTTAAGGCAAAAAATTTTATGTGGAAAACAACTTAACCCAGTTGTAAATTAGCCTAATTCACTCATCTAGAATAACCTAGCAATGATTGTCCAACCCTCCTCATGTTATAAGTGCTTGAATTATGAGTTTATTATATTTGCTATAAAGGATATAATCTTTTCTCAAATGGCTTTCCTATTTAATATCTCATCTTATTCTTATAATTTCCCTATGTGGTAAAACAAATTATTTCCATTATTTTAAAAATAAGAACACAAATTCACGAAGAGGATGAGAAACTTGACTAAAATCATAAAACCCAGTGCAGCCCAAGTATAGGGTGGCAGAGAATCAGGAGCCCCAGGCTCTGGTCCTGGTTTCATCTCTAATGAGCTTATCTTTGTACAACAGGGATAAAGTTACCTTCTCTATCTAAAGGCTTCACAATATGTAAAATATGAAGTACCTTCAAACCCACACAATAATAGACAAATAAAAAATGCTATTATGTAACATGAAAATCATGTTATGCAGTTGAGGCTAAATCTAGCTCTAGCTTCTATGTAAAAGAAAAAAGATGACTATTCCATACCACTCCTGGAGAGAAAAGTGACAGAAAATTTTTTTATGAAAGGAAAAAAAATTTTACATTTCCTGAAGAAAGAAAATATTATTTCCTACTGGGAGAGAAAGAATTCTTAGAGGAGAATGTGGCAAGAGTAATGAACTTTAAATCAGGACATTTGGGTTGAAGTCTTGCCTTTGGCACCAAGTAACTGCAACTTTTCTTAAATTCTTAAAAAATGTGGACCTCAATTTACTTCGTGTAAAGTGAGGTTAGACTAGAAAATATTGAAGGTCTTTTTCAGTTCTGACATTCTCTGTTGCTATATTTCTGCTTTCTAAGTGGAAAGCTTTTGTGAAATTGCTAAATACAGTACCAGCTCAGTTGAATTGTGGGTCCTAAAAATGGAATGTTCTGAATAATGGAATTTTCCATTTAACTGACAGTGAAGTTTATCTCAGTTTATTATCTTTCTTTATTCCTCCTCTTGCTACTTTTTTTGTTTTTGCTAATCCTCTGTCACAGGTTTGCCTCA